>NC_000003.12:172796483-172947998 GCF_000001405.40 Homo sapiens
ATTTTCTTTTTCAATTAGCAGTAATCGCTCCTCGGATAGACCTCATTGGCTACGATACTGCCACTGCGCAAAGCTAAACTGCAGGCATTTTCTGTTTCGTCTTACATTTCTTCCTGATATCTGTTTAATTTCCTCAATTCAGGTTAAAAATGCTGTCTTCTTTATTTAAAATTATTTTAATTAATTAATTCATTTATTTATTGGAGATAGTCTCACCCGGTCGCCCAGGCTATAGTGCATTGGTGTGATCTCAGCTCACTGCAACCTCTGCCTCTCAGGTTCCAGCGATTCTCCTGCCTCTGCCTCCTGAGTAGCTGGGATTTCAGGCACATGCCACCACGCCCTGCTAATTTTTAGTAGATATGAGGTTTCGCTATGTTGGCCAGGCTGGTCTTGAACTCTTGGCCTCAAGTGATCCTCTCACCTCAGCCTCCCACAGTGCTGGAATTGGAGGCATGAGCCATCACGCCCAGCCTTATTTCTTAAGGTAGCATTTTCCTTTTGAAGTTTCTCAGATTCATATATCAGGTTCAACTGTGTGTGTGTGTGTGTGTGTGTGTGTGTGTGTGTCAGGGTCTCATTCTGTCACAGGCTGGAGTGCAGTGGCACAATCTTGACTCACTGCAACCTCCACTTCCCAGGCTCAAGTGATCCTCCTACCTCAGCCTCCTGAGTAGATGGGCCTACAGGTGTGCACCACCGTGCCTAGCTAATTTTTGTATTTTTTTTTTTTTAGAGATGTGCTTTTGCCATTTTGCCCAAGCTGGTCTCAAACTCCAGGGTTCAAGCAATCCACCGGCCTAGGTCTCCCAAAGTGCTGGGATTACAAATGTAAGCCACCATGCCCTGCGGGAGGTTCAGCTTTTGCTGTGTCTCACAGCACATGATTTTCAGGTCATACATTGTTACCTTTTGCTTTTTCCCCTTTTGAGAAGGCATGGGTTGATAACTCTTTGCTTCAGCTTTTTTCTGTCAGCTTTCATAACTGTTTTCTGTGGTTCTAACTCTGCTGTTATATCCTGACACTAAAATGTTCATCTTGAAGGCCTTAATTCTTTACTTGTGGCTTTTCATGATGTGTCTGAGTTGTTGCAGTTACTGTGTAACATTGTTCCTTTGTCTAATTGAATTCAAGTGCTCTTTTCATCTGGCTCAACTTCCAGGTTATCTAAATGAGCTTCCCCCAAGAAGGAACAATCGTACTGCAGAAAGTTTTTCTTTGCCTTTTTGATAACTGGCCTAAGAAACAGGTTTTATGTTTTATCAAGAAAATGTCCTGTGTTGCCTTTATTAGGTTTTTGATTACTTAAAATAAAACCCATATGCATAATACACAAAAGAAACAACAGATTTTTAAAGGTTAAGGCTTTTTTGTTTGTTTTTATCCATGTAGCTCTGTATTCCTTCTAAAGCCTTGTGATTATCACTCTGGTTACATAAATGACTATTATTTCACAAATGACCTGTGATCCTGTTTTGATCAAATGTCTTGAGACTTTCAACATCTTTGGCAAACTTCCCCCAAATCAAATCGTTTTAGTCTTTTTAACCTAAACTAACTGAGATTTTTGAGGTGAACCCCTGGGAAGCCTCAAAAGATTTCTCTCATCTTGAGAGATATTAAATTATTAGGCTTATTTGATAAGTTGTGTAAAAGACATTGACAAATGATAAGTGATACTAGATCTTTTAGTTGCATTTGTGGGTATTTGTTGATATGTTTCACAAATTGTGTAAGTTACAGAAATCTGTTATTATAATTTTGGTTGTTATCTTAATGCCATGTTTAATAGAGATAACTAAATTTTGTTGTCAGTTGCAAACTTTCACCAGCTTTTTAAACTATGGCTAGTCTAAGTTTTTGTCATCCGGTTAGGGTTTTGAATTCTTCCCTAAAAACATAATCATGAAAATGATTCTATCCAACAAGTGCCCTAAAGTCAAGTTTCTGATAACTTTAAGATCAATGGAATTGATAAAAATTTCCAAAACTCTAATTTAAAAAACTGTTGGATTCACGAAACTACTAATCGAGATCAAGCAGAATAAAAATGAATTATACAAGATTGAATAACTGATGAAGATAATGTTTTAATGACTTTTATTTAAAATATTGTTGGTTCTTTATGCAAATGTTTTGTTTTCCAGACTTAAGAAAATCTCTCTCAAGCTATCTATAATTTACAACAGTTTGATATAGTATGCTTTTGTAAATATAGATAGAACATTTATTTTTTCTATTTGATTCCTCCACAATTTGAAAACTTTTTGAGCATTCTTTTAGCAATATAGTTATTTACATAAGTCTAATAGAAATCTGCTCTCTCTTTATAGCAGAATACAATTGAAAACATTGGTTATATTACCAAGGCTTTGACTGAAATGTCATATTTGACAATATGCATAAAATGCCTGACTTCAAAGGTTCCTAGCCTTACAGTGAGTAAATTAAAAACTGCCACTTCTTGGCAGACCCAGGAACCTTAAGACTGTAAGTAAAATATAAAGTCTGCCTTGGTTTGGTTTCCTAGCCTCAAGAGGTTTTAAAATCTGAAATTTTTATGTGATCAGTGTAGAAAAAAAGTTATATTTCTAATAAAAAGCTGTAATACACCTGTTGTTAGATTGTAGCTCTGTTGGTTGTTTTTGAGTTCTTGTTATCTACCTATAGTCTAGATCCTAAATTCTTCCAGATTTCTCCAATCCAGCTGTCTTCCATAAAATTGCTAAAAATGGGAACTGTACTGTTTCTAAAGCCCTATCAACGGAAACTAGATAAATTTTAAGAAACAAGTCTTGTGCCTGATGCATGGGCCACATAAAAAGTTCACCAAAATATCTTATGCTTTAATCAGAGACATTCAAACTGCAAACCAGGGCAAGAAGTGACATTTTTTTAATGCTGTAGACAGCCTTTCCCAAGACAATGAGGCAAGACTCCATATGATGACACTCCTACCCCTCTTGATGCCTATCTTTTTGGCTTGACAAAATAATGCTGTAATTAAATTTCACAATCAGTAACTGCTATAAGTAACTTGACAAAACCTGACCTAAGAAATCCTTTTATTCCACTAGTAACTTTAGCAATATCTGTAACACAACTTTTTGTTCAAAATGTACTGGTGGTCCTTTCTGTAGAGTTGGCATTCTTTGCTTTAATTCAACCCAGTTCTAAAATACTACTCAATGGCTACAATTAGTCTCATCCAGTACCCACAATGGTCTTTTGATTTGTTTAGTTGCCATCAGGCTTGTGTTCTGTTTCAAAACGATTGTACACACTAAATTTATTATATTAATTATTTTTTGTGTTATGATTTTTAAGCCTTGTTTTTATTGCTTGTCTAATCTTTGTAAAGCCAACTCTCTTAACACTTTGACATGGCTGCTAATACCTATGGAATTAACAAGATGGAACTCAGTGCTGGACTTCAGGCAAACCTGCCCTGAGAAAATTTTCCTTTCTGTCCTCTTTGTTACTCAAATGTGGCCCAGCTCCCTGACATAGACCCTCTATATCTTCCCCACAATGTGGGATAGAGACAACCAGGACAGGTTTGTCCAGGCCTTGAGGGACAATTAAGCCTACCTTCAAGATGATTGATTAGCTTTGCTGTCAGAGAAAGATCTTGATCAAAGGGGGGAAATGTGAGCATTGATTATACAAAATTGGATCATTCTTGTTATACCCAATTAAATCAGAGTTGAGGGACAGAGGGGAAAAACACTTGGGGCGCGTGGTAGCTGTTCTAATAATTAAATTTTCCATAAGCCCAGCTGCTTAAAATGGCCTAGTGTAATCCTAAGACTGGTTTTACTTAATAGTTGCTAAAGCAACCTGCTATGACTCTGACTAGTTTTACTCACCACTATCACTCACCACTCAGCTTGCCAGTTCCCCAAAACTTTACTAGTGTCAATGAGCTTTCTTTAAAAACAATACATAATAACATTTTTTTCTAATAAAACTCCCAACCTTCTCTTTATTATTAGAACAGACTTTATTATTTGAAGACCACTTGGTCAGTATGTATGCCCTGAATTATAATTCTTTCTTCCCCAATAAAAAGTAAAATGAGAAATTTATCGTTATATTTTATTTTTGACTTTGACATTATTGCTATCTTCAATTTTACTAAGCTTTTCTTTTGTAGTGTTTACTCTGATGTTATTCTCATCCAGTGTATTTTTCATATAAAACATTGTAGCTTCCATCTCTGTATGACTGATTTGGGTCATCAGAAATGATGACCACTGCTTCCTTTTTCTTTAAAGTCTTATATGCTTTCCTTTTGTACTTTCCTACTTCTGCCAAAGTGTTGCCGCCTTATATATCACATACATTATTATTTATGGTATGATTACAAGAAAATCTTGAAGAACAGTTCATGTGCAGAACAGTTACAGATACAATCAAATCTCACCAAAAATTCACTTGTGTTAAATGCAGAATTTTGTTGTTATGAGGCTAACAAAAAATGATAACTTTTATTTGGTCAGTAAATAAGATCTTTCAAAAATATCTTTCATGTTTTTGCTTAAAATGTTCAATCTTTCTTGCAGTTTTTAGAATTTATGACGTGAATATAATAACTTTAAATTGTTTACTAATTCACTTATCTCTGTTTCAATTTTTTTTTTCTCATTAGTCTTATTTTCCTGTCATTGCATGCCTGGTATTATTTTATTGAATTCTAGACATTGTCAGTTTTACTTTTTTGAGAGCTAGATATTTTTGTATTCTTAAAAATGTTTTTGAGTTTTTCCTGGCATGCAGTTAAGTAGCTTGCAAACAGTTTGATATTTTCATGTCTTACTCTTAAACTTTGTTAGGCAGAATCAGAACAGTATTTAGTCTAAGGTTAATTTTCCCCACTGTTGAGGAAAGATCTTAGTACTCTACCCTGATGTCACATTAATCTTGAAGTTTTCCACTCTGATTGATATCACTGTTCCATGCCATATGAGCACTGAGCACTGTTAACTCTGATTTTTTAACGTGTCTTCCCTAACCTCGGATAGTTTTCTTACACGCATACAGTGATCAGGTTGAGAACTGTGTACATAAGGAAGCCTTCTGAAAACAGGAGTTCTCTCTGTACAGCTGTTTTCCAGTAATTTGCCCTGCGGACTAGGCATCTGATCACACTGGACTCCCACATTTGCTTCTTCTCTTAGGGATATAGCTAGGCACTATCTGTGCTTTCTTTGCAGGGAAGAAACTTTCTTTAGGCTATAAGCCAGGACAGTTGTAGGGCTTAGCTTGTTTCTGTTTCACAGAAATGGATGTTAAGTGTCTTGAGAACCCTTGTTTCTTTGTATTTTGACCAATTTTTTTAGTTGTTTCAGTCAGAAAAGTAAATTCATTCCCTGTTATTCAGTCTTGTCTGAAGCAGTAGCCTTAGTTTTTGTTTCAGTGAAATGATTAGCCTATGACTTGGTAAGACTTACATAAAACCTTATTTGAACTTATATTGAGAACTTCAAAATTTTATTAGTCTTAATTTTGTACAGGTTTAGTGTATTTTAGAAAGTGCATAGGGAGTATAGTAAAGAATATAGAAAGGAATAATAGTAAAACATACTTTTCTGAAGGAGTCTATGGATGTTTTGTTTTTGTTTTTGTTTTTGTTTTTGTTTTTTTTGAGATGGAGTTTCACTCTTGTTGCCTAGACTGGAGTGGAATGGTGTGATCTTGACTCACTGCAACCTCCTCCTCCTGGGTTCAAGTGATTCTCCTGCCTCAGCCGCCGAGTAGCTGGGATTACAGGTGCCTGCCACCATACCCAGCTAATTTTTGTATTTTTAGTAGAAACAGAGTTTCACCATGTTGGTCAGGCTGGTCTCGAACTCCTGACTTCAGTGATCCACCCACCTTGGCCTCCCAAAGTGCTGGGATTACAGGCGCAAGTCACCGCACCTGGCCGGAAGTTGCTTGTTTGTTTTCCTCATCCTGGGCTCCATAGGCATGGAAACCTTTTTAATGTAATGGGATACTTTTAAGGAATATTTTAACTGATTCACTTATCAAAATAAGACATTCACATCAAACACAACTTGTGACATGAGTTGTGTTTGTTGTAGTTTTCATGTTCTATTTTAAAAGTTTTAAAAATAACTATTTTTCAGGCATATTAATGAGGATAAGAGAAAAACAGAAGCTCAAAAGCAAATTTTTGATGTTGTTTATGAAGTAGATGGATGCCCAGTAAGTATTCTTCTTTAACAATTATTAATTTATTTTCTTCTTGTTAATGAGGTTTCTGTGGTTTTAATATAAATAATATCTTGGCACTACTTTCTTTTAAATTACAACTTCTTAAAAATTACTTGATACCAAGTGATCTCTTTTGTTATATTTTCAACCTATACAGGCTAATCTTTTATCTTCTCACCGAAGCTTAGTACAGCGGGTTGAAACAATTTCTCTAGGTGAGCACCCCTGTGACAGAGGAGAACAAGTAACTCTCTTCCTCTTCAATGATTGCCTAGAGGTAAAGATGTACTTCACATAGTATAATAACACTACTGATTTTTGTAAGTTCCCTGAATATTTAAAACCAAGCTTTAATTGAAGAGTAATGTAGAATTTTAAATAAACTCAAGTAATCTTTTTTTAAAAAAATCGAGGACAATTTATGATTTAATACTGTTAATAGAATGCTTTTAGAGGAAGGTCTAATAAGAAGTGTAAGTTTTCATGACTTCAAATCTAAGTTAAAATGAAAATTTATTTCCATGCAAATAAATGCTTAGGTCAAGAAATCTGATAACTTCTTGTTTCTATGTATATTTATTCAAGATTTGTAAAATAATTCTGAGTTTTTTGAAATTTCAGTAGATTTTTTCCAATAATGATGTGGTTGTATTTTGTTGAAGAGGGAGATAACTTGATAATTTACTATTATAAATTCTTTATGATTCCTTGATTCTTCTTAAATCAGCAGGTTTTAGAGTGAATGAGGGGTCAGGTGGGGTATAATGAATCTAATTCTAAAATTCTTATTCAAGTTAGATTTTCTTTTTGTATTACCCCTGCAAGCAAATTGAATTACATGTGTGTGTTTTAACTTGTTCATCCCTCTAATATGTATTTTTAAACAACAGTAGTGAGGGATAAAAAGAAGTGCGGTTTTCCTTCATCTCAGAAGAGAAAAATGTTCATTTTGATAAAACAGACATTAATAAGATGACTCATTTGACTTTTCTGTCACTGGAAACTTTCTGTTACCTTCATCAAAATGATTAAGGAGTTTCCTTTTCTTTTCTTTTCTTTTTCTTTTCTTTCTCTTTCTCTGTTTCTGTTTCTGTTTCTTTTCGTTTTTCTTTTTTTTTTCGACAGGGTCTTACTCTCATTGCCCAGCTTGGAGTGCAGTGGCAAGATCACAGCTCACTGCAGCCTTGACTTCCTGGGCTCTGGTGATTTTCTTATCCCAACATCGCAAGTAGCTGAGACTATAGACACTCGCCACCACACCAGTCTAATTATTTTTAGTAGAGACTGGTTTTGCATGTTGCGCAGGCTGGTCTCAAACTCCTGGACTCAAACAATTTACCCACCTCAGCCTCCCAAAGTGTTGAGATTACCATTGGGATTACAGGCGTGAGCCACTGCACCTGCCTCCTTTTTCTTTAAAGTCTTATATGCTTTCCTTTTGTCCTTTCCTACTTCTATCAAAGTATTGCCTTCTTATATATCATATACATTATTATTTATAGTATAGAATACAAGGGAATCTTAAAGAGCGGTTCATGTGCAGAACAGTTACAGGTATAATAAAATCTCACCAGAAATTCACTTGTGTTAAATGCAGAGTTTTGTTGTTATGAGGCTAAATGAAAAATACTTTTTTTTGGTCAATCATGTTGCAAAAAGCACAAAAGTAAAGACAGTCAAACTACTGTACACAATTGACTGTCTCCTGAAGTGAGAAAGTCAAAAAATCATGAGACAGATAATTCTCAACTACCTGTTTCCCTCATAAAAAGGACTTTAGCCTGCCCTGATTGAGAACAGATGCTAGGCAGAGTCAATTTTCAATTATATTTTATCTGGATTCGCATCATCATGGGGTTTTACTGTATATAGTTTCTCTGTACTTTATTTGTTTGTTTCCATTAAAGCTTTTATAGGTTTTTCCTGTTGGAGTCCCTAGGTCAGCTTGCTCCATTCATCTAATAGGTTAGATTATCTTTATTTCTTTGCTAATCCATTCTGGTTTTTATCCCTTATTCCTGAGAGCTATGGCTTACTTTAAATTTTTGATCTTATATCCCCTCCAGATTCCTCGCAGTCTTCTGTAATTGGTTCATTGACTTGCCATTCACTTTAATTTCTGGTATTGGTCTCCTGTAGCTCCCAAGTCCCTGGCTTCTCATTTTCCCTACCTTCTTGAATCTATTGATTTTTTTTTTGTTCTATCCCTTTTAGCCTCCCTGTCTTAGAATCACTTCAACAAAAACTGCTTTATTTATAACATTAAATTTGGACTTCAGAATTCATAATAAATATAAAATAAAAACTTATAATCTTAAATAAACTTATTCTTTAGCTTGTTTGTTTAGGAAAAATAAACAAAACTCTTAGTAAATTGGCAATGGAAATTATGGTACATTCTTAACCTGATAAAAACCTATAGCCATCATCCTATTTAATAATAAATGGTAGAAACATTCAAAATGGGTAAAATCTATGTTTTCTTAATGACAGATTATGTTATACTGAAACTAATTTGGGATTTAAGGATATATTTAACTTTTAAATGTTTTATCTGTATTTTAAGGGTTTTTTTTAAACTCTGTACTAGCATTTGTCATCAAATTAACACTTGTTATTGTTTTTCCTTTCTAAAAATTAAGCTTAAAATCATTTAATTGTTTTGCTTAGCCAACTGTTCCTCTTCTCCTGAATTCTAGGAGTTTCATTTAAGAT
Organism: Homo sapiens; assembly: GCF_000001405.40. Lineage (NCBI taxonomy): Eukaryota > Metazoa > Chordata > Mammalia > Primates > Hominidae > Homo > Homo sapiens. Next base: position 172,805,419 of record NC_000003.12, read on the forward strand.
TCTGTCATTCCTTGATCCTGTCGCTTCTCATCATGCTTCTAGTTCTTTCATACCTCTGGGACCTTTTGCAAAATATCCCTTGGCCTTTTTTCCTGACTTTTGAACTCTTCTTATATAAACATGAACATTTCTGCTATACAATTACATGTTTGACTTTTGTTACATAGTAACTCTGCTTATAACAACTTTGTAACGAATAATAACTAAATAAGTTATATATAGATTTATGTGATTAGTGCTATTTTATTTTTTAAGTATTTGGTCCTTTTTCTTCATTTTATTGACTGATACTTTTTTATTTTCTATAATCAGATAGCAAGAAAACGGCACAAGGTTATTGGCACTTTTAGGAGTCCTCATGGCCAAACCCGACCCCCAGCTTCTCTTAAGCATATTCACCTAATGCCTCTTTCTCAGATTAAGAAGGTATTGGACATAAGAGAGACAGAAGGTATGCCGGTCGGATACATTCTTGGTTATATAAAAATAGTTTATATTCATTGTAGGTTTAATTTACTCCATTTTGGCTTTTTTAAATTGGTAAATTATCTTTAAATATAGTTGGTCAGACTGCTAAAGTAATTGTTCTTGCACCTCTATCCCATCTCCATCTCTAGGAACAGAACTGACTTTTTGTTTTCTCAAATGAAAGTACTATCTCAACCTATAGGATACCCTCATCTGTTAAAGGTCAAAGAGCTTTTAAATGGCTATGTATTAAAATAGCACCCTAGCCTAGCCTATTGCCACACCAAAATTTATTTTTTTGGTTCCTTCAGAATACAAAATAACCAGTCTGTTACCTGCACCCCTCATCTTAACACTTTCACTGTTGGCCAACAGTTGCATTTTTAGGGCTATGTTTAAGGTACGGGTCAGGAATAGATGTGGGTGCAATAAATAAACTCAGAGTAACTGGTAGACTTGATATGGAGTCATATGTGTATTAAGGAATGTTTTACTCTAAACTTTGGTAGTGTTACAGAGCAGGTTCTCTGAAGGCCTGAAATTGCTGAAAATTTATACCTACCTACAACAGTGTCATCTGTTTAATTGACACCCAGTGGTGTATGTGCATGGCCATATTTTGGATGTTAGGCATATGTTTTTACAATATTTAGCTCTTTCCATTACTGATTCCTCTAATAATGAAAGGTTTCAGTTTGTGAGAAATTATTCTTTTTTTTTTTTTTTTCCTTTATAAGAAATGATTCTTTCTTTGTTTTTTGTGGGTTTTTTTTTTTTTTTTTTTGAGATGACGTCTTAGTCTGTCACCCAAGCTGGAGTGCAGTGGCGCAAACTTGGTTCACTGCAGCTCCCGCCAGGATTCTCCTGCCTCAGCCTCCTGAGTAGCTGGGATTACAGGCGTGTGTTGTCATGCCTGGCTAATTTTTTTGTATTTTTAGTAGAGACGGGGTTTCACCATGTTGGCCGGGCTGGTCTTGAACTCCTGACCTCAAGTGATCCACCCACTTCGGCCTCCCAAAGTGCTGGGATTACAGGTATGAGCCACTGCACCCCGCCAAGAAATGATTCTTAAAGAAAACTTGAACAGCAACTTCCTGCTCTTTTCACTTAGTTGACAAATTCTGGATTTATTAAAGGTTACATAGTATAGTTGTCCCTTGGTATCCACGGGGGACGGTTCCTGGACCTCCCTTGGTTACCAAAATCTGGGATGCTCAAGTCCTGGATGTAAAATTGCATAGTGTTTGCATGTAACCTATACACATCTTCCTATGTACTGTAAGTCATTTCTAGGTTACTTATAGTACCTACACAGTGTAAATGCTGTGTAAACAGTTGTTATACTATATTGTTTAGGGAATGATGACAAGAATAAAAAGTCTGTACATTTTCAATACAGATACAATCTGTTTTCTACTGTTTTTTTCTACTATTTTCGGTCAGCAGTTGATTGAATCCACAGATGCAGACCCACAGATACGGAAGGCTGACTATATATTTGTTTTAAAAATCTTCATTTTTGGATTTTAATTATGGCAGACTTTGTTTAAAATAGGTTGTATTTTAGCATCTTGATCGTGCAACTTTTGTAACACTTAATATTTTTATCATAGAAAATATTAAATGACATGGATAATACTGTTTACTTAATGTCATTAACTTATCATCATCATTAGTTCCTTACGTGGTATACTATATTGTGTTTTCAGTACTTCAACTTAATATGGTGATGTTCTTTGTCTTATTAAAAATAGGACAAGGAAAGTGGAGAAGTGATAGTTCATTTCATTGGAATTTCATTGCTCTGAGGGAACTAAACTTGCATACATCTGTCATTTTCCAAGGAGTGACACTTAATGTTTATGGTTATTCTGGAACCCTAGATTGCCATAATGCTTTTGCCTTGCTTGTGAGGCCACCAACAGAGCAGGCAAATGTGCTACTCAGTTTCCAGATGACATCAGATGAACTTCCAAAAGAAAACTGGCTAAAGATGCTGTGTCGACATGTAGCTAACACCATTTGTAAAGCAGATGCTGTAAGTTCTTAAAACAGTATTATAATGAAAGTTTAAATTTCATGACAGTGCATTCAGACTAAACCTGTACATTTTTAATGACTTGTTTATTATGAATGGAGAGTTTTAGTTTTGTGTATATTAAAAAAACTGATGTAATAAGTTGTTTTAGAAAATATTTTATATAGTGTAGGTACACAAAATATTATTTGAGTTCTTGGCTTACATAAGGTAGGCCCTCATAGTCTTATAGCCCCTGTGGCTCTGATTCAGTGAAGATTTTGGGACTTCTTGTAATGTACCCTGTGATTTTTCATTGATACTCTTAGACATGGCTAAAAATTAGAGAGTATTTAGAGATGGGGTTTCACTGTGTTGCCCAGGCTGGTCTTGAACTCTTGAGCTCAGGCAGTCTGCCCACCTTGGCCTCCCAAAATGCTAGGATTACAGGCGTGAGCCACCGTGCCTGGCCAAAAAAAAAAAAAAATCTTATTGAAAGCAAGTTGAAAATGAAAGTTGCCAATCTATTTTTCTCATGTGAACCTCTTAAAAATGAAATGCTATCATAAATATATAATTATCATTATACTATACAGATTAAAGTGAAAATAGATGAGAGAATCAAAATAGGGAAGTTAAATGACTTGCCTGAAATCAGGTATCCCTGGATGAAATCCAGGTCCCTAAAAGATAATTTGATTTCTTCCTCTCTATATATGAGAGAGACACATGTGATAGACAGATATAGACCTCTTACTCTTTGCACAAATGACATAGATTGAAGAGAATATATGGATATAATAGATGACCCTTTTCGGTACAATGGTACTGTAACTGAGATTGCATTGGGTGTTTCTGTGGGAATGAAACATGTAATTACAGTTAAGTGTGAAACCTTGGAAGACATTTAGGTTTAATGTGGTTTATAAAGTAAGTATTCATTGATGAAAACCTCCTTCCAAAGTATTTAGAACAATAATCAGACTTTTTGTTTGTGTGTGTGTGTGTTTAGATTTCTATGGACCAATAATATGTTCTTATAAATAAAAAATTGTTGCACAAAAGATTCAGAGAGGGAAATACAATGCTAACAAATACAATAGAATGCTAGCTAGAAAAATGATGGAGACCACTTTTGTTATAAATCTTTCAAAACTGCTCATTGTAAGGTTTTTTTTTGTAGGTATCCATCCACTTTTTCTAGGTATCCATATATAAAATGGTTTTATCTGTAGAAGTTCCTTAATGCAGAAATTACTCCTGCTCTTATCAGAATGTCAGACTAGATAGTTTATAGAGTCCTTTCCAAACTTATAACCCTAATACTGAAATGAAACATTAACAGAAAATTTTTCTTATAATCTATTGAATTACTAGCCACATGATGGCTAATAGTACTAGAACTGAAATATAATAACATATGGAAGAAATTCATAAGTAAAATTAGCCACAAGATGGCAGCAAACGTTTAACTATGTTCTGACTTATCCTTACACTACAAAATTCTTTCAATCTATTGAAATTTTGTTCTTAAGAAATACGTTTGTAAATTCAGGTACTCGGTGACTTTGGTTGAGCCCTTTCCTGCGTTTAAAGTTCTACATATAGTAAATGTTTATAAAGCCCTGAGAATTTTTCCTGTGAAGATAATGTGTGTGTATATCTACACACACACACACACACACACACACACACGCACACACACACGTGAAAGATGTAAAAAGATATAAAAATCTCTGATTCTTTGAATTAGTAATTTTTGTTTTTGGTACCCTGTATATATATAATTTTTTGGTACCCTAAGTAACCTGAGCTTTCTTAATTAAAAGAGTAAAATAAGCACAACTAATAAGCACAACTATTTTATTCTATACTATTTCATTTGTCGTGTCCGCTCATTAATGATGTAAGAGTTAAAATTATCAGGCTGAAAGAAAAGTTAATCTGATACCATTAAGTTTGAACCTAAGGCCAAGAGCATGACTGACTGATTCTTGGTCGAAGCATCTTAATCGACTTTCTCCCCATGGATGTCATGTCCCATATTTTGTTATTTCAGAATCTAAGGATTAAAGTTTAAATCTATTGAAGATCTTATGTCTCAGAATCCTTATGTATGTATTTTTGGTCTCTTGCCAACATGTAACCTTTAATTGCATGGTCTGTACTCTAACATTCATATATTGCCTAAGATAAGCTGGTAGCTTTGTGGAGGCCATTATGATTTCTGACCTCTAATGTCAGAAGTATAATTTTATTAATAAGTAAATTTAAGCAACGATAACCTTTCCCGAAGTTTGGTTAGTTTAAAAGTAACTTGATAATTAAATGCCATGTGCTACAATTTAGTACTTTTGCCGCTACCTTTATATTTCTTTTGAAATTTTTCAAAACTTTTCAAAACTTATCCTACAATGGTTAAATAAATCACCATTGGCTACTTAAGAGTTGCAATCTTCATTCTGAGTTTTTAAACTTGTAAGTAGAATTTCTAACTGCATGAGAAATAGACCAACGATTGGACATATATTAAAAGTTTGTGCTTGTATGCCAATAATATTTATAATGAAGTTAGTATGATTTGTATTTAAAACTATAATTATTCTTCCATTTATTAGGCATACCTAGTAAGTTGTTAGTATAAATGTCTGTTATTGATACCACTTTAATTTGGCCAAATCAGAAGCTCTAAGTTATAGAGTTTGAGGAAAACACTGAGGCACAGGCTAAAGGGAGGGGACACGTGATAGTAGATAGGATCTGGGGGTTTGAAGACTAGGGTAAGAGGAGAGCTTAGGGAAAGGGGAGAAGTGTCTCATAACTCACGAGTAAACAGGTTAATTGGCTTAAGATGTCAAATGCTAGAAAATTTCCTGGGAATTAACACCCATGAATAGGATTTCAAAATCTATAGCTGAGGCTCAGTTTCTCCTGAAATTAATATTATATATCTCAGTGGGAAAGATTGACTACTACTTTTTAATCTTGAACTCAGCAGGTCTGTCTTCAGGTACATGTGAATTTGGAGTTGATTGAAAAACTCCTGCCCTTCCAAAGCTTCTTTAATGCTTGACATACTTTGAATAAGTCAGAAAATGTTTTTGGAATTATAGTAAGTATCTATTAAAAATGTGTGTTCTCAAGTCCAGCAGAACTTAAAAGTAAATAAAAATAAAAATGAGTTTTGGCTAATCTATCAATTTTACTTTTATTTTATTTTATTTTTTCGTCCTTGTCCTGGTACATATTATATTTTAGAAATTTAGGGAAATAGACTAAAAAGCAGAAAGTTTTTTGTCTTCGTTGTTTGTTTTTAAAGAGAGAATGAGAATTATTGAGAAAGAATGAATAACAAATAAACCTAGGACTACTGAAGATAAGTTTCCCCGACTTTGCACTTTTGCCTGTGATTTACCCTATCTACCTTCCTCTGTGCGGAGAGCACTAAAGGAAGTACTTCATATTTGTATCTTAGCAAAAATAATATATTTTATTATATTCTTAGCCACTAGTGAACTAGCAATATGTTCACCCTTTCAGTCATTCTGAACTCAGAATCTTCTAGAAAGGTAAAAAATCTTGTATCTATCTTTCCCTCCCCTAAGTCAGAAGCAGTTTGTTAGTTCATTGAGAGAAAGCATGAAGCCCCTGGTTCCATTTTTAGTTCATTGATGGTTATTAATACTTAGTCATAGTTAAGATAACAATAGAAAAAAATGAGAAGCTCCTTTATTAGCATTTGCTAAGGATTTAAATTTCAGGGGCCTTCATTAAAAGAGCATTTCAGCAAAATTAAACACACTTGGAGTTTAGTTTCATTACATATAAAAATGGATACATTTTACATCAAAGAGTAACTTACCAATGTTTAGTTTAATAGTCATGCTATGATTTTTACTGTCTATTAAATTGAAGGATAATATTTGCACATAAGAAAAAAGATCAAATATACAACAGTATACTGCAGTAAAATATGTCTCATACCCCTGTCTGGCTAATCTGTCTTTCTAGGGGTATGACTTTTGATACTTTCTAGAAATATAAGCATAGACATATGTACATTCTTCAAAAATGTATTTCTTTTTTTTTTTTTTTTGGGAGACAAAGTCTTGCTTCTGTTACGCAGGCTGGAGTGCAGTGGCACAATCTTGGCTCACTACAACCTCTACCTCTGGGTTCAAGTGATTCTCGTGCCTCAGCCTCTTGAGTAGCTGGGATTGCAGACGTGCACGACCATGCCCGGCTAATTTTTGTATTTTTAGTAGAGACGGGGTTTCACCGTGTTGGCCAGCCACGCTGGTCTTGAATTTGTGGCTTCAAGTGATCTGCCCCCCTGGGGGCCTATCACAGTGCTGGGATTACAGGTGTGAGCCACCATGTCTGGCCAAAAATGTATTTATTAGATTTATTCCTAAGTAATTTTCTCTTTAGAATGCAGTCATAAATGGATATTTTACCTGTTTCTAAGCTGTTTTGTAAATAGGTGACTCTTTGGTATATGTGTGTTATTTTGTAATCAGTCACAGTTAATAAATTATCACTGTTTTTAATTATTTTCCAGCTAATTTTACTGGATCTTTCAGCTTTCAGTTGAAAAAAAAAGTCATAAGTTTACCAATTGAAAGGAGCATTGATAAGTTACTTTATAGTTTAAAAATAAAACATAACAGAAGAATATACTTTTGATTTTTAATTCATTTTATTTATAATGACATAATTGTACATGTTTTGGGGTAAAGTGTTATGTTTTGTTGCATGTATACATCGTATAATGACCAAATCAGGGTAATTACCATATCACTGTTTTCTTTAAGGAAAATATATTTAAATGTCAAAACATTCTTTTCTGAATTTGCCTCTATATCTTATGGACATAAGAAATTCTATCAAATAGTAGGTTTTTAGTATATATCTGTTGATTGAATGAGATAAAAATTGAAATAAAAATGGAATGAAATCAAAGCACAATTAAGTTCATAAAAGTAAGGATACAACTGAGCTTATCCATATATACAGTAGTATAGGAAATGTGATCCCTCTACTATGAGATATAGGAAATCCTAGTAGTGTAAAACCTTGCAGATATGTGTGGCAGAGCTTGAATCACATTCCTCAGTGCTTTGTTTCTTACAGATTGACATAAGGTATCAAATATTCAGTTGTTTTACAAACGATTACCTAGATAGTTCACAAGAACCAACCAAAAACTATTAGAATTAGTAACAGAGCTTAGTAAGGCAGCCAAATAAAATATAAATGCATAAGTATCAAGAGTTTTCCTTTATGCTGGCAGTAACCAGTTAGAAAGTGTAGGAAATGAAGACCTCTTTTCCAATAAAATTTGATATAAAATATCTGTAAAACATGAAAAAAATATATACCCAACTAATAGTTTAAAGCAATACAGATAAAGATAGCATTATATCAATTGTTTTTACAAATCACATTGTAAAAAAAAATTGAAGGAGACCATTGAGGGCTAGTGAGGCAGGATAGATTCTTTCCTGTTCTGACAGAGTATAGGTTGAAGCAGTATACCCTTTTTCCATCAGGAACTTTTCATATTCTGCTTTTCTACCGCTAGTGTTCTAGTATAGAAAATTACCAACATGTGGTTTAATATTTTCGTATACAAAGACATATACTTTCATTTATTTCTTTTTATTGTGGTAGAATATACATAACATAAAATTTACCAGTTTTAACCATTTTTAAGTATATAGTTCATTGGCATTAAGTATATTCATACTGTTGTGCAATATCACCACCATCTGTTTTTCGAGCTTTTTCATCTTCCTAAACTGGAACTGTGTACCCATTCCACAGTAATTCCCCATTACTGCACTCTAAATGCTCAAAAATAGTGGAATGATTAAATTAATTGTGGTATAATCAGAGATTTGTCAGCTCTTCATTAAGACTAAATCCTTTGAGACAAAAAATTACAGCTAATTGAAAAACATAAGATACAAAACTGAATAATATTCCAGTTTTGTTATGAAGAACATTTTATACGTGTAGAAATATATCTCTTAAGAAATATACCAAAGTGTAGATAGTAATTGATTAGGAGAGTTATGGGTAATTCGTGTTTTCTGAATTTTTCTTAACTCAAAAAGTAACATTAAATTGAAACAATATTGACATTTACAAGTACTATTAACTGATTTGTACAGGATAAGCAACCTAGAGTTATTTAGCAAATTGATCAAGTGGAAAGAGAGGTTCTATAGCAGGCAGAGGGGATGTGGTTGTTCAAATGACAAAATTAGGGAAGCTTTAGAATAACAAAAGCTGTCTATCTATCAGTGGTGGAGAGCTGAAGCAAGCATTATAATTGTTGAGTATAATATTTAACACTTTGTAAAGAGGCTTAACATTTCATTTCAAAGTACTTCTATGCATTATTTTCTTTTAGCCTTATGATTACTATGGGTTAGGTATACTAGATATATTCTACATTTTTAAAATAGAAAAAATTTTCAGAAGAAACAACTTTCACAAGGTTGTTTTTTCTCTGTCACCACAGAATGAATAGTCTTATAGTGCCAGCATAACAAGGCAATTTGGCTATTCATAGCCTAGATTTATAAATTTAAAGTGCAAATTGCTTATAGGACTATACAAAATCATTTTGTCTAACTTGCTTTCTTCTGAAAATCCAACCATAATTTGGGCAAGTAATATTTTTAATTACTTAGAAATTAATTGTCTTGTTTAAGTGGTTCAGTGGTTCTTGGCCTATATGAGGTATTTTTAAAAATTTATTTTTAATTGACACATAACTACATATTTATGGGGCATAATGTGATGTTTTGATACATGTATACATTGTGTGTTGATCAAATCAGGGTATTTAGCATATCCATCACCTAATATACTCATTCCTTTGTGGTGTGAACCTTCAAAATCCACTATTCTGGTTATTTTGAAATATACAATGCAATAATGTATTGTCAACTATAGTCACCACTGTGCAATAGAACAACAGAACTTATTTCTCCTTTCTAACTGTAACTTTGTGCCTGTTGACCAATCTCACTCCAGCTCCCACCCTATCCTGTCCTCCCCAGCATGTCAGCAGTGGCTGACCTCACAGAAGTACACAGTAGACTTGTGGTTATATGAGGTCTTTGATTCCTTTGGGAATGTGATACAAGCTGTGAACCCACTCTTCAGGAATATGCCCTTTGCACGTGTATACACAAAATTTTGCACCCAATTTCTGTTCATTGTCACCCTACCGGCTCTTGATCACAGGTTTAGAACCTCTGATTTAGAATCCTTACAAATGCTGATTGAGGACAAAAGGGTAAAGTAGGAGAAAGTCTAAATCTTAATTTGAGTTTATGTCAAGAACAGTGTTTGTGGTATTGGTTTTGTAGCCAACTTTATACTTCAGCATTAAGTTTAAGTCTGCTAAATTTCTAACTTGTTTCAGAGTTGTTAGATTTTATTTTGAGGTCTATTTCCAATTGCTTTGGTATCCATGACCCTTACAACAAATTACACATTTACTGAATGCTTATTTTTCACTATCCTTAAGTCAGTACATTTCAGGGTAGAAGTTATATCAAGCACATGAAAAGTCTTGAGTAGCTTCATTTATAAATACTCCCATATATAAATATGCTTAAAAGTTTGATTTTTAGAAACAGTTGTGTGTTTTTAAGATAACAAAAAGTATTATTTTTCAATAGGAGAATCTTATTTATACTGCTGATCCAGAATCCTTTGAAGTAAATACAAAAGATATGGACAGTACATTGAGTAGAGCATCAAGAGCAATAAAAAAGACTTCAAAAAAGGTGAGTTTTAGTGAAAGTATTATTTAGCACATCTCTAACATATTTTCCAGACTATATTCAAATAATATTGCTGCAAACACCAGTATAAAGATAGTTTATAAAACAAAGCTGTTCTTCGGTTCTAGGAAATGACCCACAGAAACAATAGTTTTACTTCAGTGACTTCCTTGCCACAGTAACTATAACTTGTTATCCCTCCCGTTACTGTAATAATGATGCTTCTGTGAACTATCCTGCAGTAGAAATGTACTGTTGGTGTTTTAGATTTAAATATGTGTGCACTCATCTTAAATATATCGCCACAGTTATTTTCAGCAAAGGGCACACGGTAGTCAGGGGACCTGACTATCTATTCCTGACTCTAGAAGTCTATTTTAGTCTTCTCGTGATGAAGATAACTTACTTACCTTATCAGAGTTGTTGAGGATTACATAAGTATGTTGATAATAGGCTTTTTTAAAGTAGCACTAGAATTTTAGTGTTCTAAGAGAGATTTACAGCCATATTCTCTACTGCTAGATTTACAAGTTTTGTTTTCTTTCCCTTGGTGGGGGGGCTTTGTATTTTAATAATTTTTGTATCTCCTATCATTTAACATTTATGATGTATAAGAGAAAAACATGTTAGATTATTATTCAAGTGAATTCCTTCACTCTTTCAATAAAGAAATGGAGGTTGAGGGGATTTTTGGATTAGAAATCTCACAACTAGACTGGCTGAATCAGAGAAGAACTTAGGTCTCTTCTCTCCCAGGCTAGATTTCTTTTCTCCTCCTCCTTCCATTGGACTGCAGTGCTCTCTAAATGAAAGTTTAAATAGTCTACAAATTTCCTCACTGTTTTGTGCCAAAGAGATTCTAATCCTGCCACATAGTACAGTAGAAAAACTTTTGCCATATATTTGGCTTTTTTATGTTTAAATATTCTCATCAGCTGTATTGAATTTGTCTAGGTTTAACTAATTGTAACTTAAACTCTAGGTTACAAGAGCATTCTCTTTCTCCAAAACTCCAAAAAGAGCTCTTCGAAGGGCTCTTATGACATCCCACGGCTCAGTGGAGGGAAGAAGTCCTTCCAGCAATGATAAGCATGTAATGAGTCGTCTTTCTAGCACATCATCATTAGCAGTAAGTTATTTTGATTTAATGGGGTAAATGACTTATTTATGAAGTTGTTATGGAATTTGTTAACTTCTAAAAATTGGAAATATTTCTTCCATTTTAAAAAAATTTTAATAATTTTATTTAACCCAGTATGCTAAAATATTATCATTTGAATGCGAATCAATGTAAAATTATCAGTGAGATATTTTCATTCTTTCTTATGTACTAAGTCTTAAAAATGTGGGGTGCACCTTATACTTACAAAGCTGGCTGCATTTCAGACTGGCTGTGTTTCAGGGGTTTCATAGCCACAAGTGGCTAGTGGCTCCTGGAAGGACAGCACAGCTCTGTACACTAGCACTGAAGAATCAGCATGGAAAGCATGATGCTAGGGGAGAGGAGTTCTCCCCTAGTGCACTTTAAACCTTGGCATCCTATCATACGTCATTTTTTAAATATTTATATCCAAACCTCTAACCTCTTTATTGGGTAAAGGCAACTGAGAAAACCCTACTATGAATGAACTAGAGACATACTTAATGTGTAGTTTATTTGATAGGAAATTTTACTGGGATTGAAATATGTTCTAAAATCTCTGAGAAAAGAAACGCGTTTCAATCTGGCCTGTCACTTTACTAATGTAAATAGCTATGATTCTGTTTATACAGATCGGTTCCAATGACATAGCAGAGACCGAGTTTTATTCCTTTTACTATTTTTGTGATGAGTAGAATATAATCTCTGAAACTGTATTTCAGAGGATGATACGAGTTCTAAATTCATGTATATTGTATATATATGTATGTATATTTAAAGTGTTTCCTGAACAATCCAAATTTCCAACAGTTTCAGAATTATTATTAGATATTTAATACTACTATTACTAAGTATTTGAGTGAAATATCTGTTCTTTATAAAATTATTAACCTACTGAAGTTAAGAAAAGCAAGTGACTGTCATTTCTTAGCTGTGTGTCCTGTAGCAAGTTTCTTATTCTCTCAACTGCATTTTTGCAGATGATGTTATATACTGAGGGGCAATTTGGGTGGTGATTAAGAGCATGGACTCTGGAACCCTAGTGTTCAAATCCTTGCTCTGCTATTTACTAGCTGTATGTGTTTTGGCAAGTTATTAACAATCTGTTTCAATTTCGTTGTCTGTAAAGTGAGTCTTAAGTAGTTATAAGGATTAAGCGAGTTATTATATGTAAAGTGCTTAGAACAGTACCTGGCACATTGTGAGTGCTCTTGAGTTTTATAAGTGATTTCTTTTTATTTATAAAATTTCCGCAGGTAAGACACATAAATAATACTCATTAAATATATATTTTAAAGTTGCTTAAAGTCTTCAGTTAACACATCAAAGAGTTATGGCTAAATCTATTAGTGTATTTATACAGGTTTTTCATCAACATTAATCTTAACCAATGGGAGAGAAGCTGCATTTAGTTGATAAAATGAATATATGCAAAGTAGTTTGGCCAATTAAAATTGACAAATGCAGATAAACATTAATTTGTGAAAATTAGATTATAGCTTTCTCGAAGCCACCTGTAGCAACTATTGTAAACATTTTCATCTTTCAAATGAAAATAAATGAATTTTATAGAAAATTTTAGAAAATTAATTTATTTATGGTTATGTCACTTTTAATAGACAGCATATGTAAGAAGCAGCTAAAATACCTTCAAGACATTAATGTCATCTTCTCAATTGCTTGTTTCTGTTCTAACAGATTACCCATTCTGTTTCCACAAGCAATGTAATTGGATTTACTAAGCATGTTTATGTTCAGCGCCTAAACTCTACTGGTGGGCGCTCTCAGTACTCCTGGTTTCAATCTGTACGTCATTCTGCTTTCCGAGCTAGTTTTTCAGAGATACTAGAAGGAAATACTGATTTTTCAAATTTCAAAAAAGTTCTTTCCAAGTCATCTTTGACATTTGTGAAGAATTAGGAGATTTGCCAACCACTAATGGAAACAAGCCTCATGAAGTTTAATGTGAGCTTATTAGCTATTTAAAATTTGTATTTGCGGGAAAAAAAAAAGGAACATATTTTTTCTCCAAGGAATCACTTATTTGGTGGGTGGGAACTTTGGAATTCACAATGTTATGACTGCTTTGAATTAATAACAATTTAGGTTTAATAGAGTTTCTTAAGTCCAGAAAAAATAAGTTCCATTAGAAATTTTCTTATTTAGGAAAATTATCATTTTAAAGAATAGTAATTGTCATGAGTAGTGGATTTATATTCCAAATCTGATTCTTAATGTTAGATTTATAGCATTTATAGAAAATTATGCTTTTAATATGCCAAATCATAAAAGTTCCATGTGAGGAAAGTGTAAACTTTTATATTATACATTCATATCATCATTTTGTTGATACTTGAATGGTTATACTTCATCAACCCAGCTTTTTAAATGCTTCATTTTACAACCTTGTTGATGAGAACTTAAGCCAATTACCTTACTAGCTCTTACAGTTAGCCATTTATATATGTTAAAACAGTAGCCTTATAATTTATTTTGATTTACAGTTATTCTTGAGTCTTTGCATGTTATTTGTTAGAGTTGTTTTATTTTAAAATTTTTAAGACTTCTCAGGGATGTAAAACTTAGCAATTTAATAATCACTGTTATCCAGAAGGATTGCTGTTTCACTCAATTTTTATACGGAACGAAATTTTAAAAATTATTTAAAAATATTTTTTAGAGATGGGGGTCTTGCTAAGTTGCCCAGTCTGGTCTCGAACTCTTGGCCTTAAGCAATCCTCCCACATCAGCCTCCTGAGTAGCTGAGATTACAGTGGAACAAAATTATATATACATATATACACTCTGACACTCACATATGTACATCTGAGTTGTACATATATTACAAACACTCTTTGAGAGTGTATGACTTAATTTTAGAAAATTATTTCCCATGAAGTGATTTCATTCCTTTTAATTCTGCTTTATGAACTAAGAAGAAACCTTGTTTGCCAATTTATAATTTTTTCTTTTATAACCTGAAACACTGAATCATTAATATTTCATAAAACAAAGTTAGGTATCACTACTAGCAATAGGCCAATATCTGTTCAGTTGAGTTAATATCTAGTTAACTAGTCTAGCTATTTGGCTTTGTTCTCAGAATGCTATAATAGTTTTCTTTTTTCTCCCTTTTCCATTCCCCTAACTTTAAAGAGTTTAGAATTGTCAGATGTCTTGTACTTAATTGTTACAGTAATTTGTAAAATGTAAAAATAATAGGCATGATACTGAACTGTATTTTACAATTTTTTTAAAGGAAAATTTAAAATATGAAATGTTTGTTTTGTCTTAACAGGGTATCCCTTCTCCCTCCCTTGTCAGCCTTCCTTCCTTCTTTGAAAGGAGAAGTCATACGTTAAGTAGATCTACAACTCATTTGATATGAAGCGTTACCAAAATCTTAAATTATAGAAATGTATAGACACCTCATACTCAAATAAGAAACTGACTTAAATGGTACTTGTAATTAGCACTTGGTGAAAGCTGGAAGGAAGATAAATAACACTAAACTATGCTATTTGATTTTTCTTCTTGAAAGAGTAAGGTTTACCTGTTACATTTTCAAGTTAATTCATGTAAAAAATGATAGTGATTTTGATGTAATTTATCTCTTGTTTGAATCTGTCATTCAAAGGCCAATAATTTAAGTTGCTATCAGCTGATATTAGTAGCTTTGCAACCCTGATAGAGTAAATAAATTTTATGGGCGGGTGCCAAATACTGCTGTGAATCTATTTGTATAGTATCCATGAATGAATTTATGGAAATAGATATTTGTGCAGCTCAATTTATGCAGAGATTAAATGACATCATAATACTGGATGAAAACTTGCATAGAATTCTGATTAAATAGTGGGTCTGTTTCACATGTGCAGTTTGAAGTATTTAAATAACCACTCCTTTCACAGTTTATTTTCTTCTCAAGCGTTTTCAAGATCTAGCATGTGGATTTTAAAAGATTTGCCCTCATTAACAAGAATAACATTTAAAGGAGATTGTTTCAAAATATTTTTGCAAATTGAGATAAGGACAGAAAGATTGAGAAACATTGTATATTTTGCAAAAACAAGATGTTTGTAGCTGTTTCAGAGAGAGTACGGTATATTTATGGTAATTTTATCCACTAGCAAATCTTGATTTAGTTTGATAGTGTGTGGAATTTTATTTTGAAGGATAAGACCATGGGAAAATTGTGGTAAAGACTGTTTGTACCCTTCATGAAATAATTCTGAAGTTGCCATCAGTTTTACTAATCTTCTGTGAAATGCATAGATATGCGCATGTTCAACTTTTTATTGTGGTCTTATAATTAAATGTAAAATTGAAAATTCATTTGCTGTTTCAAAGTGTGATATCTTTCACAATAGCCTTTTTATAGTCAGTAATTCAGAATAATCAAGTTCATATGGATAAATGCATTTTTATTTCCTATTTCTTTAGGGAGTGCTACAAATGTTTGTCACTTAAATTTCAAGTTTCTGTTTTAATAGTTAACTGACTATAGATTGTTTTCTATGCCATGTATGTGCCACTTCTGAGAGTAGTAAATGACTCTTTGCTACATTTTAAAAGCAATTGTATTAGTAAGAACTTTGTAAATAAATACCTAAAACCCAAGTGTATTTTATGTCTCATGTATTAATTTCTTCAAGGAAATTTTCATAGGCAAATATGAATGCTTGCATCAACATATGCTCTTTTGTGTACTTGCTTGCTTACTTGTTTATTCCTTCCTCCAGTAATATTTTTGATCATTTTATTTTACGAGGCTATCTGTAAGTTAGGAATTTTTAATCTGGAATCTACTTTGAGAAATGTAGATAGTGAATCCTATAATGTTTTATGCAAAATTTTGTGTTTATGTGCATATATGCATTTTTCTGGCAGAAAATACACAATTGTTATTTTTTTGGAGGTGGAACTGTTATTTTCCCCCAAAAGAGTGGGGTTTCCAGAGACAAGAAATGACATGAGATAAGGAATAAAGCTAGAAATGTATTGACTATACACTGGCAAAATATAGCAGGTAGTTAATTTTAATTTGAAAGGGAATGTTTCTGGTTTTTTACTGTTATCTATCTGCCTTAGGTTTTTAGACTATCCTTGTTATCAGATGAAGACAGTTTGCATGTATCATGTGTAAAATTAGGATTCTGTATCATGCATGGATATTAAATATAATTAACTTCTCTATTGAGAAAATCATAATTTAGGTTTTTATTAAGAGCACTTTTAGTTTCTTTAAGGCATTTAGGTCATGCAATAGTGTTTTTTCCAAGAATCCAAGGTTAGTTCAATATCGGAAAATTTATTTACCAATATGACTTACACTGACAAGTTAAAGAAGAAAGACATGTGATTTATCAGTAGGTTCCAAAAGGTTGTTTACAGAATCTTAGCCACTGTTCTTAATAAAAATTCTAAGGGCTTTTGGTACCATGTCTGAGTAAGCTACTACATTTAGAGTGCATGTTCTTCTAACAGAAACATCAAGCATTTCTTTATGAAATATAACCAAGAAATAATTTTCATATATAACTGAGGTTAAAAGAATAATCTGGAAATCCTCAGATATGAGAAATTAAGAACCAAAGCCATAATGCTAAGTGTAGACTGATACCAAAGACTAGTTGAAGGGATTTGAGGCTAATATATAAGCCTTAAAATGCTGGAACGTTGATCCCTGACTCAGCCTAGTTGAAGGTAAGATCTTAGTTAAGAGCAAAAGAGGAAATAAAAAGGCATGAGGAGAGTAAAGAGATGAAGTAAATAGAATGTGTACTCCAGGAACTGGAAATAATAGATCAATCAAAAAGATAATATAAGAAAGAACTCATACTGAATAATAGACATGACTTTTTAAAATAAACAAGCTTGATTGGAAAAAGAATCAAGTTGAACTTCTAGAAGTAAAAATAGAGACCTGGCTGAAGAGAAAACTAGTGACCTAATAGATAAATTTCAGAAAATTACCCTCACAAACCATTGAAAAGTACTAAGAAGTGTTTAAGAGATGTAAAAAATGGGACATGAATATCCAACAACCTATAATAGGATATCTGGAGAGAAAAATTAAAATACTAGAAGGGGGTAGAAAGCAATATTTGAAGAGTTGAGAGTTTTCTAAAAATAGAAAAACATGGAACTTAAAATCAAGCATGCACATTAAGTATTGAGCAAAGTCAATTAAAAAATTCTCACAGAGCGTTATAGTCAGTATAGGAGAAAAATAAATGGAGAGCGCTAACATGTTTATGAATAGAAAGATGTAAAAAGGATGTGAATTTTCATCAATTTAACCAATACACTTAATTTCAACTGAAAGCTTAGTGGATTTTTTTATGGAACAATACAAAATAGGTCAATATAAACAAAGTTAAAAACAGGTCACAGAAAAATGTAACTCAAAACAAAGGATTTACATTTAGAGTGTAAGGAGAACTCCAGTCTCTAAAAACAACCTAATAGAAAAATTCCCAGATGGTTCACAGAAAATTAGAAGTTACCATTAAACATGTAAGACTATCAACCTTAAAAGAGAAAGTTCATTAGAATTACACTAACCTACCATTTTTAATCATTAGAAATCTAAATATTTGACAGTGTTTCTGCTGGTGGGGCTGTAGGTAAATGTACTCTTACGTATGTCTGTTGTGAATATAAAAATGACTGCAACCTCCATGGAGGGAAGTTTAGTACAGGCACACCTCAGATAATACTGCACATTTGGTTGCAGATCACCACAATAAAGCAGCTATCTCAATAAAGTGAGTCACATGAATTTTTGGTTTCCCATTGCATATGAAAGTTATGTTTACACTATACGTAGACTATTAAGTGCAATAGCATTATGTCTAAAAAAACAATGTTCATACCTTAATTTAAAAATACATGATTGCTTACAAAAAAAAAGTTAAAGATCATCAGAGGCTTCAGTGGGTCGTAATCTTTTCTGGTGGAGGATCTTTAAAATATTTTTTATTTCTAATTATGGATACATAATATTTGTATTATGTATATTTGTATATTGATGGGTCCGTGTGATACATATTTTTCTTTCTAAAACTTCTAAGTTTTTCTCTTTTTTTTTTTTTTTTGAGACAATCTCACTCTGTCTCCACAGCTTCATATTCACCACTTATATTCTTTATGTTCCTTCCGCTGCTTTTCTTGAACCTCCTGAACAAGTTACCTTTGCCTTAAGGTTCTGAAAGAACTATCTAGCAGCAAAGGCTTATCCTTGTTCAAAAACAATTGCAGGCTTAACTAAATTAGTTGAGGCATCTTTAGATATTGTAGTAAGCTCACCTTTAAATCTGATGGTACCACGTGTATTAGTCTTTTCTTGCACTGCTATAAATACCTGAGACTGGATAATTTATAAAGAAAAGAGATTTAATTGGCTCCCAGTTCTGCATGGCTGCACAGGAAGCATGGTGGCTGCTTAGCTTCTGGGGAGGCCTCAGGAAATTTACAATCATGGCAGAAGGTGAAGGGGAAGCCAGCACTTCAGATGGCCAGAAGCAGGAGGGAGGGAGAGAGACGGGGAAGGTGCTACACACTTGTAAACAATCAGATCTCATGAGAACTCTTATGAGAACAGCACCAGGGGGATGGTGCTAAAGCATTCATGAGAAACTCACCATGATCCAATTACCTCCCACCAGGCCCTACCTCCAGCATTGGGGTTTACATTTCAACATGAGATTTGGGCGGGGACACAGATCCAAACCATATCAATATGCAATACACTTTTCTCTCCCCTTCTTACAGAAAAATTGGCATATAATAATTACTGTTCTACAATCTTGCTTTTATCACTTCAAAATATATTCTGGAAATCACTCTATATCTGTATATAAGTTCTTCATTTCTTTTTACAATTGCAGAGTACTCCACTGTGTGAGTGGACTCTATTTTATTCACCCAATCCCCTATTGATGAACATTAGTTTCTAGTGTTCTACTACCACAATGATGTTGCAAGTTTTATGAATAGGTCATTTTGTATTTCTGTTAGCATAATTTGCAAAACAAACAAAAAAACTACATGTGGGATTACTAGGTCAAAAGATCAGTATATAATTTTGGTAGATATTATGGGCATATTTTGTTTTATTGCACTTAGCAGATAGTGTGCTTTTGATAGACTAGAGATTTGTAGCAATGCTGCATTGAGCAAGTCTATTAGCACAGTGTTTCCAACAGCATGTGTTGACCTCATGTGTCTGTGTCACATTTTTGTAATTCTTGCAATATTTTATACTTTTTCATTATTATAACTTTTGGTGATCTGTGATCAGTCATCTTTGATGTTATTATTGTAATTGTTCTGGGGCACCACAAACTGCACCCATCTAAGACTGAAAACTTTATCGGTAATTGTTGTGTGTGTCCTGACTGCTCCACTGAACAGCTGTTCTCCAGTCTCTCCCTCTGCTTGGATCTCCCTAACTCCTGAGACACAATATTGAAATTAGACTAATTAATAATTAATCCTACAATGGCCTCTAAAAAATCAAAAGCTAGGAATTACTAAACTTAGTGAGGGAGGCATGTTGAAAACAGAGATAGACTGAAAGCAAGGCCCCTTGTGCTAATAGCCGAGTTGTGAATGCAAAAAGAGTTACTGAAGGAAATTACAAGTGCTATTCCATTGAACATGTGAATGATAAGAAAGTGAAACAGACTTATTGCTGATACGAAGAAAGTTTGAATGGTCTAGAGAGAAGATCAAACTAGCCACAACAGTCCCTTAAGCCAAAGCCTAATCCAGAGTAAATCCTTAACTCTCTTTCAATTCTATGAAGGCTGAGAGAGATAAGGAAGCTGCAGAAGCCTGAAGCTAGCAGAGGTTGGTTCATGAGGAAAGAAATGGTCTCCAAAACATAAAAGTGCAATGTGAAGCAGCAAATGCTGATAGGGAAGCTGCAGCAAGTTATCTAGAAGAGCTGGCTAAGATAACTGAAGAAGGTGGCTATGCTTAATAACAGATTTTCAATGTAGATGAAACAGCCTTCTGTTGGAAGAAAACGCCATCTAAGACTTTCTTTTTTTCTTTGAGATGGAGTTTCACTCATTGCCCAAGCTGGAGTGCAATGGCGCGATCTCGGCTCACTGCAACCTCTGCCTCCTGAGTTCAAGCAATTCCACTGCCTCAGCCTCCCAAGTAGCTGGGATTACAGGCACGCCCCGCCACGCCCTGCTAATTTTTTGTATTTTTAGTAGGGATGGGGTTTCACCATGTTAGCCAGGCTGGTCTCGAACTCCTGACCTCAGGTCATCCGCCCACCTCGGCCTCCCAAAGTGCTGGGATTACAGGTGTGAGCCACCTCGCCCGGTCAATCTAAGACTTTCATAGCTAGACAGAAGTCAATGCCTGTCTTCAGTGCTTCAAAGACAGGCTGACTCTTTTGTTAGGGGCTAATACAGCTGGTAACTTGAAGCTATGTTTATTGACCATTCTGAAAATCCTAGGGCCATTAAGATTATCCTAAATAGACTTTGCTTGTGCTCTATAAATGGAATAACAAAGCCTGAATGACAGCACATCTTTTTATAGCATGGTTGACTATTTTGAGCCCACCCATGAGACTCTTGAGTGCTTTCTTGAGATGGAATCTATTCCTGATGAAGGTGCTGTGAACACTGTTGAAATGACAAAGGATTTAGAATATTACAGAAACTTAGTTGATAATGCAGAGGCAGGATTTGAGAGGACTGACCCCAACTTTGAAAGAAGTTCTGCTAGGGGTAAAATGCTATCAACAGCACTGCATGCTACAGAGAAATCTTTCATGAGAGGAAGTCAACTACTGTGGCCAACTTCATTGTTGCCTTATTTTAAGAAATTGCCACTGCCTCCCAACCTTCAGCAACCACCAGCCTGATCAGTCAGCAGCCATCAACATTGAGGTAAGACCCTCCACCAAAAATAGACAAATGGGATCACATCAAGCTAAAAGGCATCTTTACAGCAAAGGAAACAATCAACAAAGTGAAGAGACAGTCACAGAATGGAAAAATATTTGCAAACTACCCATCTGCCAAGGAATTAATAATCAGAATATATAATGAGCTTAAGTAATTCAATAGGAAAAAAGATCCAATTTTAAAATAGGTGAAAGATTTGAATAGACGTGTTTCAAAAGAAGACATACAAATGGCCAACACATATATGAATAAATGCTCAACATCACTAATCAAAGAAATGTACATCGAAACTACAATGAGACATCATCTCACCCCAGTAAAGATAGCTTTTATAAAAAGAACAAGCACCGAGGGATGTTTGTTCGAGAACATAAAGGGTGACCCTTGTATATTGTTGATGGGAATGTGCGTACAACCACTGGAGAACAGTATAAAGTTTCCTCAAAAAAGCTAAAAATGGAACTATCATATGATCCAGCAATCCCACTGCTGGGTATATATTTAAAAGAAAGGAAATTAGTATATCAAAGAGATGTCTGCACTCCCATGTTTACTGTAGCACTATTCACAATAGCCAAGATATGGAATCAACCTAAGTGTCCATCAACAGATGAATGGATAAAGAAAACGTGGTATATATACACAATGGAGTACTATTCAGCTGTAAAAAAGAATAAAACTCTCATTTGCAACCACATGGATGGAACTGGAGGACATGTTAAGTCAAATAAGCTAGGCACAAAAAGGCTAATATTGCATGTTCTCACTCATATGTGGGAGCTGAAAATTAAAAGTTGAACACATGGAGATAGAGTAGAGTGACGGTTACCAGAGGCTGGGAAGGGTAGTGGGGAAGGAGGTATAAAGAGGGGTTGGTCAATGGGTACAAAGATACAGTTAGATAGAAGGAAAAAGATGTATTGTTCAGCAGCACAATAGGTTGACTATAGGTAACAATAAACGTTAAAACGTAAAAAGTTTCAGGAGGTTTGAGTTTGAATAAACTATTTTGGCTTACTTTGAAAGAGGCCATTTTGGGATTGGTGTTTTGTTTTGAGGCCTAGACATCAATCAAAGCTGACCATTGAATGCTTGGTATTTTGTCTTTCCACTTTTTTAAGAGTTCCTTTTAAGCATATTATTGTTGACATTTTAAAAGTCCCATCATGGCTTAGGAAAAAACCAATACTCTTATTATTCAAAGATGATATGATTGCTTAGATAGAAAATTATAAATAATCTGGAGAAAACTTAGATTAAATTCTGAAACAAAATCAATATACAAATAGATACCAGCCACAAACAAGTAAAAATACCTTTTCCTAAAAGATACTTGTTACAATAGCATTAAAACCATTGAAATACTTAAGAATAAGTCTAATAAAAGATACACAAAATCCCTACAGAGAAGACTGTGGAACTTTATTTACAATAATTAAAGAAGACCTTAATTGATATGATTGTCAGGATTGGATGCCTCAGTGTTGAAAAATACCAGTTTTCCCCAAACTGAACAAATTCAAATAAGGCAAATAAAAATACCAACAGGCTGTGTGTGTGTGTGTGTGGCTGTGTCTGTGTGTGTGCATAAAACGTGACTAATTGTTTCTAAATTTATGTGGAAATACAAAGGGTCAAGAATAATGAATATGGTTACAGAAGTGAAAGAATCTGTTTAATCAGATACAAGGTTTATTATAGAGCTGTAGTAATCAAAACAGTGCAGTGCTGGAAGTCTTGGTGTATTAAACCAAGCCGACAGCATTATCATTGTAAAATAGTGGGTGAAAAACAGCCTATTCAATAAATGGTGCTGAGAAAAACTGGTATCTTTTTTTTTTTTTTTTTAGAAACGTTGTGTTTAATGGTAAAGCTTAGTACACCCCAGCACCAGGAATGGCATGGAGTCGCAGCAGCAGGGACGGACAGGTGGCCCCCATGGAGCCTCACGTGGCGAAGAGGATGAGGAAGGTGACCATCAAACAGAAGAACCCCCCATGGCCTCAGACAGGCCAACGCCCAGAATGGCATAGGAGAAGAGCTACTGCCTGAGAGATGAGTGCCTGAGAGACGAGTGCCTGAGAGACGGGTTCCTGGCATAGCCAATGATCAAGCTGCCAAACACAATTCCAATGCCAGTCCCTGAACCAGCCACACCAACTGTGGCTGCCTCAGCACCAATAAATTGGTTGCTGTGTCAATGTCCCAGGAGACAACACTGGTCTGGAACTCCTGTCTGGCCACCTGGAGTGGGGAGCTGCTGTGGGAAGGCTGTTTAGATGAACTCTCTGGGCTATTCAAGAAGGAGGCAGACACAGGCCTGGTTAGACACCTGGTGCAACAGTGGATCTGAGCCGGAGAAATGAACAGTGCCCCAGTGGTCTGCATTTTTTCAGTCTCCCAGCTTTAGCCCTTGGTCTCGGCGCCCAGCCAAAAATTGGTATCTTTATTTTAAAAAAGAAATAAAATCTCTTCTTCACATTTTATGCAGATTTGAATTAAAAGAGAATTATAGATTTAAATATGAAAGGTAAAACTATGAAGATTTTACTAGATAATATAGGAGAGTATCTTAATCTGTCTGGGGTTAGAAAAGATTACTTACACATTTTTCCAAAAGTTAATTATAGAAGGCATGATTGATGTCTACATTAAAATTAAGAACTTCCAGTCATGAAAAGACATCATTAAAAGACAAAGTCACAGAGTAGATGTTCACAATACATGTAAATGACAAAAGGACTCATATCCAGACTATATAAAAAACTAAAAAAAAAAAAAGTCAGACATTCCTATAGAAAAACAGGTACTTCATAAGTGAGGGAATCCTGGCTGGGCACGGTGGCTGACACTTGTATTCCCAGCACTTTGGGAGGCTGAGGCAGGTGGATCACTTGAGGCCAGGAGTTCAAGACCAGCCTGGCCAACATGGTGAAATCCCATCTCTACCAAAAATACAAAAATTAGCCAGATGTGGTGGCACGTGCCTGTAGTCCCAGCTACTCAAGAGGCTGAGGCAGGAGAACTCCTTGAATACGGGAGATGAAGGTTGCAATGAGCCGAAATAGTGCCCCTGGGCCACAGAGTGTGACTCTGTCAACAACAACAGCAACAGCAAAAGTGAGGAAATCCAAAAGGCTAAAAAACTTATTTTAAAATGTTCAATCTAATCCATAATGCAGGATTGCAAATCAGATTCCATTGCACATGCACCATTGTGGCTTAGCACAAATGGAAAGCAAAGAGAAATTTCTTCCTTTACGAGATAAGAAGTTGCTGTTGGTAGGAGTGTAAATTGTGTAACTATGTATAAAACACTTGGTCATTAATCAGTAAAGTTTAAGATACGCATACTTTGAAACCCAACAATTCTAATCCTCGATATTGCCAGAGAAATTTAGAAATATGAATACTAGGATCCATGTGTAAGAATGTTCATAGTTGTTACTGTATATAAAGGCCTGAAACTGGCCAGGTGTGGTGGCTCACACCCGTAATCTCAGCATTTTGGGAGGCCAACGTGGGCGGATGACCTGAGGTCAGGATTTCGAGACCAGCCTGGCCAATATGGTGAAACCCCATCTCTACTAAAAATACAAAAATTAGCCAGGCATGGTGGTGCAGGCCTGTAATTCCAGCTACTCGGGAGGCTGAGGCATGATAATCGCTTGAACCCGGGAGGCAGGGGTTGCAGTGAGGCAAGATTGCGCCACTGCACTCCAGCCTCGGTGACAGAGTGGGACTCCATCTCAAAAAAAAAAAAAAAAAAAAAAAAAAAGCCTGAAACTGGAAAGTCAGAAATTTATATCAATATTAGAATGGACTAATACACTGTGTTATAATCAAGTTTGTTTTTTCCCAAATGTTTTACCTGTGTTAATTCAATCTCCACAAGAACCCTATGAGGTAGATATTCTAGGGGATGTTTGCCCTTGAGGCCCTATAAAAATTAGCATCTTGGGGCACTGCATAGAAATAGTAACACATGTAAGAGTCCCATATTCGAAGGCAGATGAGAATTCTAGATCTTCCTGGGCTTTTGACTTGCCTTGGCCAAACCTAACTTCCTTGAGCCTTGTTATCTTCATGGAAGATCTCTACCACGTTATCAAAAATAGTCATCTTGTACCCAAAATGAAACCTCTTGCTTTGCCAAAGGCCTATCAAGTACCACCATAAATTGGGGTCCCACAGGGAAGAAAGGTATCAAGGGACAGGGGATCCAGGTGGAGAGGCCGTGGGCTCTGCTGAGCTTTTGAGGCTTCTTGGGGGTGAGTGTGGTGAAGGGAAAGTCAGGGTATGGAGAGCGAGGCTTCTCTGAGGGCTGAGCCAAGCCACACAGGGCCAATCCTTGGGCAGGCAGACTGGAAAAGTAGGCCTTCTGCTCTTCTGAGTAGCACTCCTGGGGTGTCACAGCATCCTGATAAGTCCAGTGACGCCATTCATAAGATAAGTTTAATAAGTTTCTAGTCAATAAGTAAAAATCAATTCTATTTCTATACCCCAGAAAAAAATCAGAAGCTGTAAAAAAAAAAAAAAGGCAACCATTACAATAGACAATAGCAATGAAAAATATGAAATGCTAGAAATAATTCTAACGGAAAATCTGCAAGACTTTTATGGAGAAAATTGAAACCTTCTTAGAACACATTAAATAAGATCTAAGTAAATGGAGAATTCTTAGATAGGAATCTCCCAAATTGATTATATATCTTGAATAAAAATTTTAATTTATGAAACTAGCTGATTTTAAAATTCACTGCATAGAGCAAAAAGCCAAGGGCAGTTAACATATTCATGAAGAACAGGTGAAATAATTTGCTTTCCCAAATATTAAGGCTTATAAACAGTATCTTATTTGGTGCAAGGATAAATAAATTGACATATTGATAAGTAAATTGATTTATTGAACAGAAGTCAGTTTGTTATTATATAGAGAAGTTGTACATGACCAAATTTATATCCATTCTTACCTAGGGAAACACATGTGCACAAGCAAACATGTGCACAAGAATGTCCGCAGCTGCACTGCTTATAATATTCCCAAATTGAAACAACCCAAATGTCTATCAATAGGACAATTGATTGACATATAGCCATGAAAATAAATGCTTGCTAACTATATGCAATAACATAATTTTCAGAACATACTGAGTGAAAAAGCAAATCGGAAAAATATCCATAGCATTGTTCTACCTACATAAAATTTAAAACAAGGAAAATTGAGTTATTTAGGGATAGGTCGCGCTATCACTCTAAAGATGAATGTGCTATTCCGGATAATAGTAACATCTTGGGGGAATGCGTGTAGGCAGAGAAATGGCGGTCAGGGAGGAGCACAGAGCGGCTGTCTAAGGTACTGGAAATTTTTAAGTTCCTAAACAAGATGGGATGTACATGCGTACTATGTACACGCTGTACACGTGTACATGCCCTCAAATTAAAATGCACTCTTACCATTTATCAGTTTCTTGTAACATTCTGATCTTTCTTCTGGATATTTTATATTGTTTACTAATCTAGTTGTCTATTACCATTACAGTACTAAGTGGCTATTTATTTTGTTATTCTCACAACGTGCACTTTATATTTTAAGTTGTGTGTATTATATATTTCAAAGTAGAATTTTTAAAAAATACAATAAAAGTTTCTTTATTTTCTTCTTTTTTTGAGATGGAGTCTCACTCTGTCACCCAGGCTGGAGTGCAGTGGCGCCATTTTGGCTCACTGCAACCTCCGACTCCCGGGTTCAAACAATTCCTTGCCTCAGCCTCTGAGTAGCTGGGATTACAGACGCCCGCCACCAAGCCCAGCTAATTTTTTTTTGTGTATTTTTAGTAGAGACGGGGTTTCACCATCTTGGCCAGGCTGGTCTGGAACTCCTGATCTCGTGATCCACCCACCTCGGCCTCCCAAAGTGCTGGGATTACAGGCGTGAGCCACCGCGCCCGTGCCCGGCCTATTTCTCAAATTACAGAGGTGGGTGGTCCAGGGCTGCTAGGGTTGCTTTGCCATTCTTGACAGACAATTTCCCTTTCAGCATCTGAAATGGCTGCAGAACTCTTACTCCTGCCTCAGCACTCCACAGAAGGAATGCGACGAAGGGCAAGGAAATGCATGCCCAACTACTTTTTAAAAATCTCAAACTAGAATTTTTTAAAAGGAAAGATATCATCCAAATAAAATAGCAATAGAGGATAATCACCTAAACATGTAAAGACTTTTTATAACAATGAACAGATAGCACAGTACATAATAAAATATTAACACCATTGCATTAGATTAAGAAAACGTTAAATTAACCCTCCATTACCACAACTATTTGGTTTTTAAAATTTTAGCTAAGTCCAATAATACAAGAAATTATTAATTAATTAATATAATTTTAAATCAATTAATTATTAATTAAATTATTAATTAATATAATTTTTTAAAAAAGAATAAGCAACAGTGTTATTCTTTTGCAGATAATGTGGCTATATATTTCAGAGATTTCCTAAAAATCTCATAGAATTAATATTCGACTGGTTACACAATAGATATACAAAAATCAAAAGCTTTTCTTCAACATAGAAATATCCAGTTAGCATTTGAAGAAAAAACTTAAACATTTAAAAATGAAAAAAAAATTTTACAGTAGTTCTAAAGTATATGATTTGTCCCTTGGGATAAATTTAATAAAAAGGTACAGGTACTATGGAAACCGTCGTTAAAAGTCGAGAATCAATCTTTAATGATTGTAGAGACTGATTTATCCTAGATGGGAATACCTAATATTTAAAACAATTTCCCCCAAATTAATATATAAATTCACTGCATTTCCACTTAGAGTCTTACTTTTTGACTTCTCCTTTTTTTTTTTTTTTTTTTAAACAGGTTGAAATGATTCTAAAGTTTGTAGAGGAAAACAGCTGAGACCAGTCAAAATTCTTTTCTAAATTAATGAGGGAAGACTTGTCTTCTCAGGTATCAACACCTCAAAGCTACCATAATTAAATCCACGTAGTACGGTAATGGTAATGGAAAACTATATTAGTAAACAATATAAAAATATTCAGAAGAAAGATCAGAATGTTATGAGAAACTAATAAATGGTAAGAGTGCATTTTAATTTGATGGCTAAGGGTAATTTATTTATAAATATGCTGGCATAATGGGCTATCCGTCTGGAAAAAGCAAAATTATATCTACAGTTCATATCATTTTGAAAATAAATTCAGTTTTAAAATATAAAAGTGTAAAATATAGAATGAAATTTAGGAAAATATTTTGTAAACTTGATGTGTTAGAAAAACCCAGAAGCAAAAAAGTCAAGATAGTTGTGCTTAACTTCATAAAAATAACTTGTTTTTATATGATGAAAAATTCTATATACTCAAAAGATTTTAAAAGACCATAAAAAAATTTTCAAGTCATATGGCAAAGGGCATATATATTGAAAATACTTGGCTTGGTGCAGTGGCTCACACCTGTAATCCCAGGACTTTGTGGGTAGAGGTAGGGGTATCATGTGAGCTCACGAGTTCAAGACCAGCCTGGGCAACATGGAGATACCCTGTCTCTACAAAAATACAAAAATTAGTAGGGTGTGGTGGCGCACCTGTAGTCCCAGCTATTCAGGAGGCTGAGGTGGAAGAATTGCCTGAGCCAGGGATGTCGAGGCTGCAGTGAGCTGAGATTGCACCGCTGCACTCCAGCCTGGGCGATAGAAAGCCTCCCCAACCCCCAAAAAAACTCTTTTTTTTTTTTTTTTTTAATTTGAGACAGAGTCTCATTCCAGTTGCCCAGGGTGGTCTTGAACTCCCGGACTCAAGCAATCCGCCCTTCTCGGCCTCCCAGAGTGCTGGGATTACAGACATGAGCCACTGCACACAGCCAGTACCAAGGGATCTTATAAAATTATTTGTGAGGAAAAAAACCAACAAAATTCCAGCAAAATAATGTGTAATGAAGTCTTTTAAAATTTACTTTTAAATATTAAAAATGATAATAAAATTTACTTTTATTATCATTTAAAATTTTTTAGCAGAATAGCATAGGTTGCGTTGAAATAAGTCTGCCTGGGATTGAATTCCAGCTTCATCCATTTGTAACTAACTGGGTGGCTTTGGATAAATTGCTTCACCTCTTTTTATATCACTTTTGTCTATAAAATGGAGGTAATAATAGTGCCTCCCTCATAGGTCGACTGTGAAAATTCCACTTAGAATAGTGCCTGATACCCAACTAGTAGTTAACAAATTATTTATCATTATTATAATTTTTTTAAAAATGAACTGGAGATGATACTAATAGTCCCTTATATCATTGGATACTATGAGAAGTAAAAGAGATGATCTATGTAAAGCATTTAATATGGTACATTGCACACTGGCATGTAGTAATAATGTTAATTATTATTCTTATTGTAAATGTTAATTAGTGTTCTTATTGTTAAAAATTCAAAGTGGCAATACTTAGAACATTACGGTACTGGCACCAAAACAAACAAATTAATGGAATAGAATAGAAAGTTTAGAAAGAGACTTAATAATATACAAAAATTAAATTTATGACAAAGGTTTTACTTCAAATCATTTTGGAAAGAGAAAACTATAGTATTGATAAATGAGACTCAATTAGCCAACCCTTTGGGGAAAAACAACTTAGATCCATATGTCTCATCAAATACCAGGATAAATTCTAGCTAGATTAGAATTTTTAATGTAAACACTAAAAATACTAGAAAGAAACAAAGGCAAATATTTATATAGTTTTGGGGAGCCTTTCTAAGCATGGCATCAAGGGCCATAAGTGAAAAAAGATATCCCTGAATATACCAAATAGAGAACTTTCATGTATTTTTGAAAATACAAAAATATATTTCAGTTGATACTGATTAGCCCCGGGGCTTAAAATTGGATGGAAAAAAAATAAGATTTAGTTATTTTTGAACATACCTATTTTTTATAATGGAAGAACTAACAAAATAAAAAGTGCTTTAAAGTGCCCCAGACAAAATCAAAAGGCAAATGAAGAGCTGGAAAATATTGGTAACATCCCTAACAGTCAAAGTCAAATGCCATATTTAATACATAAAGCTGTTGTATCAAGATATAAATATGATGAATGGACAAGTCATTAGCAGGCAGTTCATCAAGAGCTACCAATAAATATATGAAGACATTCAACATTACGAGGAAACAAGCAAATACAAAAAAGTAAGATGCTATTTTAAAAATCACATAGGCAGATATCAAAAAGAATGATGCAGCGTTGTCAAGGGTATGCTTTTACAGAATGCTTGGGCTATAAACATTCTGGTGCATCATTTTATCAGAATCTTTCAACAAAATAAACATATCCTTTAATCCAGTCAGTCTCCTAGAAACTGATCCTGTGCAAATAGGCAAATGTGTATAGTTGTATTGCAGAGTTGTCAATACAAAAATGTTTTATGTCCTTTAACAGGGAATTGGTTATTTAAGTTGTGATACATTCGTGCCATGGAATCTACACAGCCGTTACAAATGACATTGTAAATATAGATTTATAGACCTGGAAAGATGTTCATTACCTATTGTTATACAAAGAAAACAGGTTATAAAGTGTTATATAGAATATGGTGACATTTTTGCTAAAAGTAATGCATATAAATAAGAGAAAGTCTAAAGGGAGATAGACCAAAATTGTAGCAGTTGTTATCTATGAATGGCACCAAGGGTGATTTTTAAAAATCTTTCTTCTTTCCTCTATTGTCTGAATTTTAAAATGATGAACAGGTTATTTAGCTGTCTATCTATCTATCCATCCATCCATCCATCGCCAGTAGGGGGAGCAGAGAATCTTATGTTGTTGTTTCTGCCTGTCTTTATTGGTCCCCCAATTACTCTGTAATCCTCTGCTATTTGGCTTCTGTATCTACTTCTCCATGAAAACGAATTTGCCAGAGTTACCAATGACTTCCTGTTTGTCAAATCTAATAAATACTTTTCGGTTCTCATCTGTTGGACCCTCTGGTTCTGTCTTGTAAACTATTTGCACCTTTTAAAAACACGGTTCTCCTTTTTTCTTGAAACAGAGTCTCACTCTCTTTGCCCAGGCTAAAGTGCAGTGGCGTGAACTCGGCTTACTGCAGCCTCAACTTCCTGGGTTCAAGCCATTCTCCCACCTCAGCCTCTGCAGTAGTGGGAATTACAGGTGCAGGCCACCACACCTGGATATATTTTGTATTTTTTTTGTAGAGACAGAGTCTTGCCATGTCGCCCAAGCTGGTCTTGAACTTCTGGGCTCAAGTGATCCACTTGCCTTGGCCTCCCAATGTGCTGGGGGATTACAGGCATGAGCCACCCCTCCCAGCCTCTTTTTTCCTTTGAGTCCTCTGTGTGATGGTTAATTTTAGGTGTCAACTTGACTGAATTAAGGAATATCTAGAGAACTGGCAAAGTAGTGTTTTTAGGTGTGTGAGAGGGTGTTTCCAGGGGCCATTGGCACTTGAGTCAGTGGACTGAGTATAGGAGATCCACCCTCAATGTGTGTAGGCTAAGAGCCCCGATAGAACAAAAAGAGGAAAAGATTTAGTCTCTTTCTCTCAGAGCTGGTACACACTCTTCTGCCCTTGGTCATCAGAGCTCCAGGCTTTGGACTGCAAGACCTACACCAGTACCCCCTTCTCCCTCATCACCACTTCCTGGGTTTCAGACCTTTGACCTTAGACTGCGAATTACAGCATCAGCTTCCGTGATTCTAAAGCTATAGGACTTGGACTGGACTGAACCACACTATAGAAATCCCAGGGTCTCCAGTTTGCAGACTGCCAATTCCCCTAAGTCTCTCTCTTTCTCTGTCTCTCTCTCTCTCTTTCCCTCTCTCTCCTCTCTCTCTAGGTATTCATCCATCCCTCCCTCCATTCATCCTATTGGTCACCTCTCTAGAGAACCCTGTCTAATCCACTGTGTCACCACTGTTTTCTCCTACATATTGAACCACAACTCAGTGTATTTCACAAAATCTTTTGCCCACCCCTTACCTGCAGATGTTCCCTAAATGTCCATCTTTCCTCTTCATTTCTTTGCATCTTACACATTTACACCATGTATATATATGTATGTAAAACTGCCACAGGGCATCGTCCCCTTGATTTAAAAGCACCTCACACTTGCGTGTTCAAAGACCCACATACCCTATAAAAGACTCGTATCTAGGATATAGAAAGAACTCCTACAAATCCAAGAGACAAACACCCTTCCTTCATTTCTTCAATACCACTCTCCTTTAAAAAAATATTATTATTATTATTTTTATGGATACAGGGTCTCACTATGTTGCCAAGGTTGGTGTTGAACTCCTGGGTTCAAGCAACGCCTCCTGCCTCGGCCTCCCAAAGTGCTAGGATTACAGGCGTGAGCTGCTGTGCCTGGCTATTTTGTTTCTGTATGGCTTTCTGTGAATGGTATCCCTATCCACTCCACCACCTGAGTCAGATACCTGAGAATTCTCCTAGGCATAGGCTTATCTTTCTTCCTTATTCCTCATAGCCAAGGTGTTGATCCCACGTCCTTGAGATCTTGTGAATGAATAATCCATTCCCTTGTCTCCATTTTCATTACCATGCCTTATTTCATGTACACATGACTTTCTCCTGGATTTATCTGGTAATCTTCATTCTTAAACTAGGTTCCATAAAGGCAGAATCTGGAACAAAGACTTGTGTTAGGTTTATTTAGAGGTTGTTTATCATGAGGAGTTGAAGTGAAGAAACAGAGAAGGAAGGAATGCCAACACGGTTTTGCTATATCGGGTTAGCCACTACCACAACCCACTGTTGCTGAGTCCTGTGGGAACTTTTCATCTGGGGTGTGAAAGGGAGAAGCATTGATCACTCAGCTTCCAGCCCAGTTGCTCAAGAACGGTCCAATAATAGTAAGTCCCTGGCAATTCCAGATTGTACTTGCATGAATGCCCAGAGGTATTGATACTCCAAAGCCTCAGAAATTCCTGGGACAGGAGTGAGAAGTGGTGGCACATCCTCCAGCAGTGGCTCCAGTAGGAAGAGGTGGGGCTGAGAGGGTTTAAAGTGGCCCATAAGACATGTCTGGTTCACCTTTCAACTGATCTTCCTGTACTCCTTCTGCTAGCCACTTTTTATAGCCAGAATAATCTTAAAACAAAATGACTATATTATTTTTCTGCTTGAAGTGTTTTGATGTCCCTTTTAGAGACCTTCAGAAAAATATTCTCTCCTTAGCACATCATAGAAGCCCTCCCTTTATTATCTGGCCCTCTTCTACCTCCCTAAAAGTATGACTTCTCCATATAAACCCTTCCCAGCTCTTTATCTGTGCTGTACCCTCTACCTAGAGTTACCTTCCTCTCCTTTTGTGCTTGCCTATTTTCTCCGTATTTGCAAGCCTTACTTGATGCTCTACTCTTCTTCCCAGGCTGAGTTAGTTCCCTCCTGTATGTTCCAAGAGCACCCTGTGTTTATCATCATCATAGAATTTATTACATTCCATTACATTTTTGTCTGATTTATCTGTTAGACTACATTGTCAACTCCTAATACAGAACCTGACAAATAGTAGGTGATCAATAACTGTTGACATTGTTTCACTATCTATTGCAAAGCTGTATACAGGGAAAGTGAACCAAGTTTATCACTAAAATGAAGAATAACCACCTTCAATGTATGCTTAAATATCATTGGGGTTTTAGTCCCTCCAGAAGGTGTTAATCTAACATCTTCCTGTAAGATGCGCCTTAGGAAGAATACAGATTATAATCATTGTATGGAGGAGTGTTGGTCAAAGAGATGAAAAAGGCGTCGGCTCTGAGAGACCAGAAGGGTCGAAGAGCTGTCGCATTCCTACAGGTGGTAATAACCCTTCACTGATCACCTGCCTTCAACAAGTGTGAAAACTGACAACCCATGTAGCCATCTCTTAGAGAGAGTGTCTTAGCCTTCCACACAAGTTGCCCCCACAAGCTGTAGCCGGGAAGCAGACACATGAGCCATATGAAATTGGGCCAAGGGCCAGTAGAATTTTAGTGCAGTTTGAAACTGTGACATACGGCACTAATATTATATTTCCCCAAGGTTGGAGTCTCGCTGCCAAGAGGTGTGGCATTGCTATCACCCTGGAAAGTGCAGCAAAGACTTGGGAAAATATCGTAGGCTGAGAGATTACTTTTCACTTCCAACTAAAGCTGGCAGACTGAATTCTCTTGTAAAAGAATAGATTCAGCTTGATTTGTTTGGCTTTGGGGATTTTGGCATTCATAGAATTGCCAAATGTATGATAACTTTATTTTAAAAAGAATAATTGTGTAATTATTTATTTAATTAGAAAAAATAATAAATGCTTGTAATTATTTCTGGTTTAAGTGTTTCTAACTTGAAATACAAAACACTACTTTTTCTTCAGCTGTCAGCTTTAGACGTCACTTATTAGCTGAAGTTCTGAGAAGCTGAAAAGTGTTTAGTCTATTTAAGCTATGTCTCCCCTCCCTTCCTCTCCTCCCACCTCCCAACATACAATAATTGTTTTTTTTTAGATTTAAAAGTGATTTTTAGATTTGAATATTAATGGTGTTAGATAATATTAAACATTTGAGTGCTTACTGTACGCCAGGCACAGTTCTAAACACTTCACATACAATAAATTCATTTTCTCCTCATATCAGAGAATTATTATCCTCATTTTGAGACATGGAAACTGAGGCACAGAGCAGTTATGAAACTGACTTGTTCAAGGTCATCAGTTAAGTGGTAGAACTGGGATGGTTGTATTATCTGTGCAGTCAAGAGTATGCTTTGCTGCTCCCCATAGAGGAGGCTGTTAGAGCCCCTAGCCTTGCCTGCACTTCACCTTTCCCCTTTCACCCTGTGTCTCCTGATAACAATTACATTCTGCTATGTAACGTTTTTAAGTTTCCCAGGTTTGGTTTGTAGGTTAATTCAAAAGCTGAAAATTAGTATACGATATTTACATTATTACGACTAAGTGAATATTGTTCATTATAGAGACAATTAATGCTTTAGGATTATAAATTCGATGTTTCAATTTTGGTACCAGTCAAAGCCAAATGATCCTTGCATCCAGTTCTAATTAATTTTTATTTCTTATTAATTCTCTCAATTGCTCAAAATCATGTCACATTTTAGTTTCCATGGTTTTTGGGCATGACTTTCTCGTACAGTTCTTTACCCTGCTATTTCTTATTACCTTCCTCCTTTCTCCTGTTTTGATAACCCTCCCCCTCCCCCTCCTGGAGTGTTGTGTAGTAGAATTTTAATTAACCCCTTCCTTTCAGCTCCCTTTGCCCCGATTTGTTCCTCTGACCCTGAACTTGGAGCCTGTCTGCAATCAATGTTAACCTCCTTCCCTCCCTCCCTCCTTCCTTTCCTTCCTTCCTTCCTTCCTTCCTTCCTTCCTTCCTTCCTTCCTTCGTTCTTTCCTTCCTTCCCTCCTTTCTGAATTCTGGGTCCTTGCCTTCTCGTTTGGTTTCATCTTTCAATAGGCTTCCATCTTCTTTCCATCTCTTAGAAATGTGTTTAAACCTCTTGCCTACTGATGTATCCCCCTTCTGTCCACTTCTACCGGATTATTTCTTCACACTTTCTTGGAATTATTAGATAATCATTTGTGCTTAAACTGCAGTTTGAATTAGAAACCCTATTTGGTCCACATCCTAAATAGTCAAAGTGATATGTGTATGTATATACGTATGTGTGTGTGTATATATATATAATGTATGTATGTGTGTATATATATATGTATATAATCTTAAATGTGTACAAATAGCATTGTCAGGTATAAACAGCATTTGCTTCTTTAAAATTAAATGGCTTACACATAGATGAATATTTACTTAGAAATACCTAAACATTAAAGAAAATGATTTCAGAACCTTATTCGCCACCTCCTACCCAACCCAGGCTAATAACACAGAGAAAACTTTGTTATCAGATCCACCATTATTAATTGGAGTCCTCTATCAACTTAATCACACTTTTAGCACAATAAAAATGGATGTTCATATTGATGTCTTTAAGGCAAAGCAAGACCCCAAAGCATCTTCAGAATCACTAGAACAAAGTTAAATTATGTTCAAGATTAATTTTAGTGCAAATTATTTTAAGCTAGGTCTATAGGCATTTGTGATAAATGTATTTATTGCCCTGCCACAGTACAGAAAGAATTTGAGATGGCTTACATAAATACATACTACACAAAAAGATAAATAAGAACAATGAAGAAAAGAGTAGGAATGGTAGGATGAAGCTGGGATTGAGATTGGGACCCAAAGTTACTTCAGAGTGACCGGTGCATTTGTTAGGAATGTACCACACATTTTATTCCGAGCATCTAACGGCTGACCAAAACCATTTCCACAGCCAGCAGGTCAAGTTCATTAATCCACATTGCACACAGCATAAAAACAGTTTGCTGTGGAGAACTATTGCTGGAAAAAGACTGGGGCGAATTACTTCCTGTGGGTTCTAGTAAAGCACATATGTGAAATGTAGAGAATGATGTACTTCGTAACTTCTTTACAGTAAAGATAGCAATATGATGCACGTAGGAGTTTTAGTAATATGAACGAGCAGAACTCCATAGGGCAGGATTATAAGCAACTTTATTCTCCCACTTCCCACACCACAATCGCTAACCATTTAATGCCATTAGATTTTCCCCACCCTTTTTATGAAAGTTAATCTCCCAGTTTTCTTACTCTTTTTTAGTTTGTTTGTTTTTGGTTTTTTTGTTTCGAGGCAGAGTTTCGCTCTTTTTGCCCAGGCTGGAGTGCAATGGCACGATCTCAGCTCATCACAACCTCTGCGTCCCGGGTTCAAGCAACTCTTCTGCCTCAGCCTCCTGAGTAGCTGGGATTACAGGTGCCCGCCACCATGCCCGGCTAATTTTTTTTGTATTTTTTATAGAGATGGGGTTTCGCTGTATTGGCCAGGTTGGTCTCGAACTCCTGACCTCAGGTAATCTGCCTGCCTCGGCCTCCCAAAGTGCTGGGATTACAGGTTTGAGCCACCGTGGCCAGCTCCAGTTTTCTTATTCAAAAACAAACAAACAAAAAAACAAAAAACAAAAGAAAACAAAAACCACTGTTTCCATTCAATTTCATTCACTGGGATAGTCTCCTTGTAGCCATCATTCTGTTCAGTCCACTGAGATCATCAACACTGTACTTCATGTGAAGTGAAACTTTTCTCCTCCCCCAGGTTGAGTTGGAAGCCTGTGGTGGTAAAGAAGGCGTCTTGCTTCTTTCCAGGTCTTACCATTTTCTCTCTCTCCTTCCTTGCTACACCCTTACCTTCCACCGCCATGTCTCAGTTTCCCCTGACTTGGGGAAGACAGAAGAAGTCAGGGACAGGAAATACCTTACTTGCCTGGTAGTGCCATGCCTCTCTACTGGTGCATGTGTAGGGAGAGCCTTCTCCAACCTCGCCTCTTTCTGGGTTCTCCTATCTCAGGGGGTAAATCCTCCAGGGTATGTCAGACACCAGTGCCCTACACATTGCAGGAAACCCTTATCAACCTCTATAAATGTTCTCCTGAAAGCCTTTTTCTTTAAGCTTGAGGTAAAAGGGAAACATCTTTCTTCCTCCTCAGTGGATGAAGGAGGGAAAATGTGAGAGCACATTCTCCTAATTTTCTTTCTTGGCCTTTTCTACAAAGGCCTCTTCTATAAGGGCCTCTTATATCCTTTATGTGGTGTTGAGCTAAAGGTTAAAAAATTAGTTTTCTGACACCTCCTTTGCCTTCTTAAATGATGCAAAAAGAGTCCCATTTAATATCTTATTCGATCTTTACTGAAATCTTATAAGTGTATAGGAAATATTGTTGACGAGCTTTTCTGCTTTGAGGCTCAAAACAATGTAGGCATGAAATACTGTGTTAGTCTAGGTAGATGGCATTTCAATCTAGCAATGTATCTATATTCTCCATTTAAACTATAAAATTGATACCTATTCATTTTAGATAGACTAGAAACATTGAGGAACCAAAAGAAAAATTATTAAAATGATTCTGTCCCAACTTTCAGGGATGGTTACTATTAACCTTGATTTATGTCCTTTCATATTCTCCTTATACTGTAATGGACATCCCTTGCCATCTGAATCTCACTATCCAAATATTTGTTTTAAGAGCTTGTAAAATTTTTTTCTTGAATTCACTATCTGAAAGGAAAACTTGTTATAAGAAATCTACATTGTCACAGCAGTAAGACTGTTTGATTTGTGCACAAATTCTGGGGAGAAAATAGAGTTGCTGCGGTAGATTCTCAGCTCTTCTCTTGACAACACTGAATCTTGTGCTTGCAGTTTCAACATGTAGTGCATTATCGTATCAGATCCCCACATTATTATATGAAAATGTCTTCTAAGAGTGCTGAAAAGCCTGTGAAGAAGTACGAGCCTGTGAATTGCTGAACGCTATTGACAAAGGTGATTCAACTGCACAGCACATTTTTAATGTTGATGGAATTGATCTGCTTTGGAAATGTATGCCATCTTGTATGTTCACTTCAGAAAAGAAGACAAAAATGCCAGAACATAAAGCATCCAAAGTAGTCTAACACTACTTTTAAGTGAATGTGAAGTTAAGCTAAAACCTCTGCTTGTGTATCACTTCAAAAGCCCCAGTGCCTTTTAGCGACTAAGGGAGAGTGAATTGCCTGCTGTGTAATATTCAGCTCGTAAAGATAGGATGACCAAGGCAGCTTTCAGTGATTACATGAGGAGCTGTCTCTATTCATCAGAGTACACACGGATGGAAAACTTGCAAACAAGGCTCCTTTGATAATAGACTAAGCTCCCAGATGTCCTTCTAGTGTTGACAGTTATGGAGATAATATCGCAATGGACTTTTTGCCTTCCAGCATGATGCCATTATCATAGCCTCTGGACCTGAATCACTACAGCCTTCAAGGCATATTGTTTGCAGATGGTGATGCAGTATGTGGCACTTATATGCTGATATATGGTGTGATGATGCAGGCAACACTGTTTCAGCACAGAATTTATAGAAGAGTTTTGACATTCAGAAGGTCTTCACATTTATCAACTGGGTTTGGCATGTATCATAACAAACAATGAATGGACTATGGGAGAAACTAGTACTGCAATATGTTGCTGACTTCCAAGGTTTCAGGGAAGTGATTAACGCAAAGCAAAAATCCTAAATCTTGTGAAGAGGGCTAGATTTAGTGAAGTGGATGGTAAAAAGACCTTAACGTATGACCACAGAACTTGTTCAACTAGTTGCTCATTCTACAGCCCAGGAAGGGAAAGAAGAGGAGCAATAAATGCTCATTGCTGGGTCTTTAGGAAACGTGAAATTATGCAGATAAAATACTTGTTTTTGCAAAGTTTGTTTTGTTTTGTTTTGGTCCATAACTTTATCTGCCATTACAGATAATGGTTCATAGCCATGCACCTCTAGTGTCTCAAGATCCAAAAAGAGATGAGCGTACATAAGATCCTTGGACTTGAAAACAGGTGAACCACAGGCATTTGACGCTCCACTCACTCTCTGCCAGCTCATTCCCACTCGGCTTCACATCGACTGAGCAGTATTAACATCTACCTGCCTGCAACCTCCATCTCCCTCTCTCTAAACCTCTCTTTATTTGGTTAGTAATCATTTTGTAAAATTTCCATGTTTGCTTATTTTATTTAACTAAATGTTATTTGTATTTATGACATAACTTTAAAACACACAGTAGCTTTTATTTTATATTAAAAATTATGCCTGCTATAGTACATAAGGAAAACTAATTTCTATTAGATATTCTGTTGTATTGTTGCATATTA
Source organism: Homo sapiens (assembly GCF_000001405.40). Classification (NCBI taxonomy): domain Eukaryota; kingdom Metazoa; phylum Chordata; class Mammalia; order Primates; family Hominidae; genus Homo; species Homo sapiens. Next base: position 172,845,596 of record NC_000003.12, read on the forward strand.
CATAAAAACATACCCACTAAAAAGCCCATTAAGTATGAAATAATTATGTAGTTGATATTTTGTACAGTATATTTATGCAAAAATCCTTGGAAGTGTTACTATGCAGGTGCATAGGAAGGTTTAAACAGGTTCACGCCTGTAATCCCAGCACTTTGGGAGGCCAAGGTGAGCAGATCACGAGGTCAAGAGATGGAGGCCATCCTGGACAACATGTTGAAACCCTGTCTCTACTAAAAATAAAAATTTTTGTAAAAATACAAAAATTAGCTGGGCGTGGTGGCGCATGCCTGTAGTCCCAGCTACTCAGGAGGCTGAAGCAGGAGAATCGCTTGAACATGGGAGAATTGCTTGAACCAGGGAGGCGGAAGTTGCAGTGAACCAAGATTGAGCCACTGTACTCCAGCCTGGTGATAGAGCAAGACTCTGTCTTAAAAAAAAAAGAAAAAAGAAATTATCTGATCTCCTGTGTGGGCCAACAAAGTGCAAGCCGAACAAATCACACCTATGTTCCACATGTGGCTTGTTTTCAACTTCTGACCTTTCCAAGGGCAGTCAATGTGTGAATGTTCCAGTGACCTCTGACCTATGAGACAGCTGTCACAAAAGCTTGCCCAGTCAGTGATGATGGCAGTTGTCTTAGTCTGTTTTCACACTGCTATAAAGAACTGCCTGAGACTGGGCAATTTATGAAGAAAAGAGGTTTAATTGACTCACAGTTTCTGAGGCTTAACAGGAAGCGTGTCTGAGAGGCCTCAGAAACTTACTATAATGTGAGAAGGGAGAAGGGGAAGCAAGCACGTCTTACCATGGTGGAGCAGGAAAGAGAGAGCACGAGCAAAGGGGAAGTGCCACACACTTTCAAACAACCAGATCTCGTGAGAACTCACTATCACAAGAATAGCAAGACAGAAGTCTGCCTCCATGATTCAATCACCTCCCACCAGGCCCCTCCCCTGATATGTGGGGATTACAAAGAGATGAGATTTGGGTGGGAATGCAGAGCCAAACTGTATCAGCAATTAATACAAAATATCATATTCCCTTGGGAATTTATATAATATATACAAGGATTTAGTCAGTGATAAGGGGAGCAGAAGATAGAATACCCTCATGGAAAAGGTTGACAGGAGGAAAATAAAGCAGTAGATGCTACGAGTAAGAGAAAATTATGATTATTGTAAGCTAAATCATACAGCACAGGGGAGGATATAGTTGGTTAGTAGGTAGAGTAGGAGTAATTAGGTAGAGCTGAGTCATGATGCAGTCAGGATGAACAAATTCAGAGTGATGACAGGAGAACAGATACTCTGGTTTTTTAAGCTGCTGGGTTTTGAATAGCTCTCGAATTCTCTGAATTTTAGCCTTTGGGAGGTCTTCATGGATGGTTGCACTTGCACTTCCTTTGGGAATTGTATTTGGTTCCATGAAGCATGATCATGTAGATAAGACTCTCAACTTCTTTTTGTGCCATTTATAGTTCCAATAGGTACTGACTTACTGGAGACAAATTGAATAAGTCTCTCTTTTTATAACCCAAAACATTTAACAGTATTTATGTACCATAATATATTTAATCAATTCCTCATTGCTGAACATTAAGATCATTTCAAACTTCTAATATGCATACAATTTTTGTCATGAAATTCTTTGTACATTTATTATAGTGTACTTGATGTTCCTCAGAATAAATTCCTCTGGGTGAAATTCCTCAATCAAAGAATATATGGGCATTCTAAAACTTTCTATATGTATTGCCAAGTTGCCATCTAAAAAGATTTTATAGATTTACACTCTTTACTGGCAATCTACAAGAGTGCCAGCTCCTCACTCCTTATGAGTACTGGATATCATTTTTTATTTTTACTTACCAATATTTTGAGTGAAAAATGCTGACCTGCTTTATTCCTGATATGTTTTATTGCTCCTCTAATTGAACATAATTTCTTGGACATTAATTGTCCATTTGCATTTCTTTTGTGAATTATTCTGGTATGTTCTTTGCTTATTTTCCCAAGGGTATAACTTATTTGTTTATTAACAGTAGTGGTATTATTAATTTAGAGCTATGTGCCATTCATTATGCTAAAAACTCTATAAACTTCATTTCATTTAATCCTCACAAAAACCTTTGAGGTAATTATTATTATTCACAGATTAGAGAAATGCAAACTAGGTTTAGAGAATGCTATGGTCTGAATGTGTCCCCAAAATTCATATGTTGAAACTTAATCACCAATGTAATAGTCTTAAGAGGTGGGGACTTCAGGAAGTTATTAAATTATGAAGGTGGAGTGATGGGATTTGTGCTTTTATAAAAGGTGCAAAGGAGCTGCCTCTCTCTCTCTTATCCCTTCCATCCCTCCCACCATGTGAGGGCACAGCATCCTCTTGTGCAGCAACAGGGCACCATCAGGTGGATGCAGGAGGATCCGGTAATGGGGCACCATCTTGGAAGCAGAGAGCAGCCACATGCCATCGCCATGATTTTGAGCTTTACAGTCTCCAGAACTGTGAGAAATAGATTTCTGTTCTTTCTAAATTACCCAGTCTAAGATATTTTGTTATAGCAGCCCAAACAGACTAAGACAGAGATTTAACATGATCAAGCAGCAAGTAGCCTGATGTATACCCAGGTTTACTGAATTCAGATCATGAGGTTAATGTGCTTTCACAGTTGCCAAGCAGAGTCACTGCTTATGGTTGCGAAGATTATGCTCCTGTCTTATCTAGAAGCACAATATTTTTAAAACAACAAATACAGACACATGCCGATGTTGTGAATTACATAATTTAAAATGTTGGAATTAACTTGAATTAAGATGAGACATGTCATTTCTGGTGAATACTTCATATATTAGAGAAAACATATACTTAAAAATCAAAAGATCTGGATTCAAATCCCAGCTCTGCTATTTACTGGCTGGGATATCCTTGGTAAGTTTCTTCTGCATCTTTACTTGTAAGATAAGGATAATAATGCTTTCTTTTTTTTTTTTTTTTTTGGTTGTTATCAAGACTAAATAAAATTTCATATGCAAAGATGGTATCCCCAAAATGTTAATTAATTCCATTCCTTCATGTGTATAATAAGCATGTCAATACCTTCAAATGGTGACTAACCTACAGAAGCCTCATTATTTGGGATTGTAACCATGATATACCAGAAAAATAAATATCAGGAGCCACAAAAGAGCAATAGGTTCTTGTACCATATATTTTCATTTTTATTAAAATTCTCACTCAAGTTACAGTGGTACAACCTCTAATAATTTGCCTGACTAGCCAAATGTAATTATTTTTTCCTAAGAAGTAAAGCTCTTCTCAAATCTTTCATCCTTACCAAGCACCTAGGGCAAAATACATGGAGTGGGCCAGAGGACTCATTTTACAGATGAGGAAGTTATTTGTTCTCTCTAAGCCTCAATATTTCCTCCTGGGAATAAAAGAGCTAATAGAACGTATGTTTCCCCACTTTTCTTTCTCCAAGGGAAATAGTTGGATGATTAATGAGATAATGAATGTGAGGAGAACTCCCTGGAGGAAAGACATTTCACAAACATGAAGTGAAGACTCTGGCTGACTCACTGATTTCAGCAGCTCAGAGGTATGGATAAATCTATTGGTATGAATCCTAGCTACTTAATCTACCTACCTCATGCACACCTTAAAAGCTGGATTTTGCAGCATTTCTTAAGTGTCAAACTGATCCTACTTATAGCAAAATTCATCATCCAGTAATTAACACCAAGTGTTTATGAAATTAAATGATTCATCTCTCAATGTTTTGCAGGGTGGGAGGCAGAGAAGTACGCAGGACAAACTTGGAATTGAATCACTTGTATAATGTAGCCAGGAGCTGCTTTGCTTGGGTTTTCATAGTCTTTCAGAATAAAAAGTCCTATCCCAGAACCACTCCCTTTAAAATAAATTGATGTTTTCAGTGTCTGAAGCTTTTCTAGGAGAATGGAAATGAACTGGTAAAATTTTAAAAAGCCAAAGGCAAAAGAGAAAAACTAACAGCTGGAAGAATTAAATGAATACTATATCCAGCTGTTTTCTAAGGACCTAAAGTATGTCATGGATGTCAAGATGTTACTGTAGATGTGGCTGGAAGCTCAGTATTATGCCTCTGACTCTGTGGGTTGAAATGGAAAACAATTCCAGAAGAACAAATAAAGAAATGATTTTTTCCAGCCCAACTCTTATGTCAAATGAGAGCCATAGCACTTTTGTTAGATTAGAAAAGAAGTCAAGAGATGCATGGCAGTTGATACCCATTTAAGATTGTTGTGTATTCTTGATAAATTGGCTTATAAAATATTCCTCCTCGGCATGTACTCTAGGGCATGGCTTCCTTTCCTTTCCTTATTGTTGTAGATTTAAAAATTAGTTTATTAGGTGCCATCCAGCCTGGGCTTTTAAATAAATGGTGCTGGACAAATGGGTGGCCATTTGAAAGGAGATAAAAATTAGATCCGTATCTCACACCATACACAAGAATCACTCAAGAAGGGATAAGGATTTAAATGTGAATAAAGAAAGCATATGAGAATGCGAAGAAAATGTGGGTAAATTCCTTTTTTACCTTGTAGAAGGTACAGGGAAAGCCTCTCTAATCATTACTCAAAATCCAAGGTCAATAAAAGTAAAGATTGAGAAATCTGACTACATAAAAAATTTAAAAAAAAACTTTCAAGACTAAAAAGCACACATCCTAAACAACACCAAAACAGCTGACAAACCAGGAGAAAATATTCAAGACATACATACAGAGATTGAGAAATGGAGAGAAGAAGGACCTAGACCTGTTAGAGAAAAACCATGAACAGACACACAAATATATAGCCCTCAAATATATGAAAAACTTATTCAAATTCACTTATAATTAGAGATAAATACTCAGGTACAATTTCTCACTATCAGACTGGCAAAAATTAAATAGCATGTCCACACATTCAGCTAGTGAGGCTGTGAGGGCACAGATACTAGCTCACAAATTGCTGGTAAGAAGGTTTCACTCGTGAAACGCAAGTTGTTCATACCTAACAAAACTACATATGCACTTACTCTTTGACCCAGAAATCCCACTGCTAGGATCCACCGTGACTATATACTTCCCCAAATACAAAAATGTATATACCAAAGTTATTTATTGTATCATTGTTTGTAACTGAGAAATATTGGAAGCAACTTAAATTTCAGCACTTCGGAGGAGTGGTTGAAGAAATTCTAGCACACCTACACAATGGAGTACTATGCTCCTGTAAAACAGAATGAGGAAGATCTCCATGAGCTGATACGGAATGATTTCCAGGACATACTACTCCGTGAGACGGAAAAGCACAAAAGGGTATATATAACATGTTACCTTTCATGTGAGAAAGAACTAGATATAAAAGCATAAGAAAATACACATGCATCTGCACATGTGTGCGAAATAAATTCAGGAAAGATAAATGAGAAACTAGAGACTGGTTACCTACAGAAGTTGGTGGGAAAAATATGAGAAGAAGTGAATATGGGCACATTAGTAGAGAGGAAGAGGAAGAAACATGTTTCTGAGTATATTTTTAATAAAGTTTTGACTCTTAGACCCATAGTAATGTTTCACATACATGCTTTTCCCCTAATAAATAGTTACAATCAACCAGGAAGTGGGATAAACCCAAAATGGAATGTAATCAGTAACAAATGAACCTAATGTGTGACAAATTAATTCATAATCACACTGAAGTGAATGTGTGAAAATAATACGTTGACTGGATACTGTGAGACTAAAGAGAAAAATAACTATATACAAATACTGTTATCTGGAAATTTGCTTCTTATATGTATAGATTAGTAACTGTTTAACTACCTTATATGTACACTATTAAATAAGTGAATGTATTGTAGATAATGAGAGCCAGGTTTCTCACTGCTGGAGAAAGAAGTCACAGTTAAATGAAGGGGAAGCATGGAATGAATGTCATGATGTTGGATTGGTATCAGAGGTATCGATATGTACTCATGATTTTATATATATATATATATATATACACACACACACACATATATGTACATATATGTGCACACACAAATAGATGTAGAAATAAGTATAGATGTGTGTATGTGTGGGTTAGTATTCATATATATATTTCTTAGCTTTGTCCACTGAGAGGGCCTGAGAGTAATGATACCTGAGTAGCCATGAGCATACCTACTGGCAGAATCTTAGTTTATAAATACTATTCTCCAAGTAAAAAAAAAAGAAAGCAGAGCTCCTTGAAAAAGTGGTTGATTCTAGAGTTGGGAAAGAGAATATAAAAGATGAGACTGGAACATCGTGTGGTACCAGAAAATAAGAAAGCGCTCAAAAAAAAAAAGAACGAGGTCATGTCCTAAGGACATAGGAGCTCCTGATGGCCAAACATGTAACAATTTGAGCAATCAAATATCTAATGATAATATAGGATTATAACCAATAAAATAAATAAATATCCTGAATTCCACACTTATAAATAATCCAAATAAATAAATGTATAGGGAGAAGGGACAGCTCTTCCGTATAGAAAAATTCCAATTAACAAATGTAGAAGACATGAAGGACATACAAAGTTATTACTAGGTAAACACAGCAGTAAGATCCACTAAATAAGAGGGATGCTAAAATCATTGAGCAAAAGTTTGAAAATATTACCACAATCTCAAACTATCTTCATTAATTTCAAGGAGAATAATGAGAAGTTTAGAGAGAAAAAAACCTTGTAGATACTACATTAGCCAATGATCAAAGCTAACACCACTAGTGTCAAGGCATGATTCATTTACCCTCTGATATATACTGAGAAAGAGAAAACATTACTTATGTAGTATTCTTTCCCAAAAGGAATAATGTTGAAAACATGAGACAAATTCATATTGAGGAACATTCTAAAACATAACTGACCAGTACTCTGTCAAGAACATTAAAGACAAGAAAAACATGAGGGGCTGCCACAGATTACGTGGAGAAGAATGAGGAAGCAGTGTGGGATCCTTGATTCGATCCTGGAGCAGGAATTGATGGAATTGGAATAAGGTCTGTATTTGTTAGAAGCAAGGAACTAGGTCCAGCTCACACTCAACGGCGGGAGGGGGGGTGGTGGGGGTTGCACAAGGGATTTACTGGGGACTCTCTCAGAGGCTGCCTATGGCAAGCAGCAAACAGCAAAGGGAGAGCAAGAGGAAGAGCAGGGTTGGAAGTCAGGGAGGGGTAATCACTTCCATTTTGGACATATTGTGTATAAAATGTTGATGAATCTTTAGGTGGAGATGTCTGTCTGGAAGTTGGATGTTGAACCTGAGGCTCAAGTACCAGATCTGAACAAGAGGTGAAGATTTAGGTATCTTTAGCCTGCCAGTGGCAATTAATGCCGTAGAGATAGTAGTGAACATCACTCAAAGAAAATGTGCAGGCTGAAGTGAGGAGTACCAATATTTAAGATACATGCAGATAAAGAAAAGTCCAAAAAAGAGATACAAATGGGATGACCAGAGAGGCAGAGGGATAATGAAGAGTGAAAACCTCAGAAACCAAGAATGAGAGGGTTTCCAGGAGAGGGGAGAAGTGTCAACAACCACAGGGATGTTTGTTAAGATGAGTATTGGGAAATAGGCAATGAATTGCACTTTTATTTTCTTAGTCTCATTCTTCCATCTCACAGAATGAATTTGAAATTAAGAGATCTTTGGGGACCTTGGCAGAACTGGGTTCGGTGGACTGGTGATAATGGAATGCAGGTGCTTTGGTTGAAGACTGAACATGAACTGAAAAAGGGGAGACACAGAATGAGTTTAGTCTACCATCTTGAGAAGGCTAGAAGGAAGTTATACACCGCCTCTCATCTGAGTGTAGTGTTACACTCGTGGCTATTTGAGAATGAGGAAAAATTCCCTTGCTAGCAACCACTATCCAATAAAAAGGCTGAATTTTAAAACGTCTTCTGTTAGCTCTCTATATGTAAAAGATGATTCTAAATTTTTTGAGAATTTTTTGAGCATGTACTTGTTCCTATGCTCTTTAAAAATGGTAAAATATTTCCACAGTTGCTGACCATCTAAGATGCATTTTCTATCACCAGTCTCATAAATATTCAGCTATTGTACCTTTCCCCAAACAGCCAGCGATTTATTCATTACATTGAATTGCAATCTCACCCTTCCTTTCCGCTCCTTTGTAAAGAGATAGGCAATATTTCGGCAGTTTTTGTAACGCTTCTGTCTTGAGGGAATGTAAATATAAGCATAATTGATTTTCTGAACTTGATTTTTTTTCTATGTTCCAGTGCTTTATGCATTATAGGTAGGATGACTGACAAATCAGCCCTGATTGGTAATTAGGATGCAGAATATATTAAAAGCATAGCACATATATCCAGTTTGCTCTCAGTGCAAACCCTGGAAATGTGAAGCTTCTCAACGCTCTAGTGCTTGTTGTCTAATTACCTGCTCTTTTGCTTTGACTCAGCCATTCAGGAACTACAGTAGCTTAGTCTGGCAGTTTAGGGGTGATTGCTAGCTAAATGCTGGAATTCACTTTGCCCAACTTTGACTCATCTTTCCTTCCTCTTCCCCCTCTGAAATGACATTCTTCCTCAAAAAGCATTTCTTCCCTTCACGTGTTGGCTGGATAATGAAGGCTTGTGTTCTCCCCCTTGTTTGAAGGCTAAATTCTCAAGGTAATTTTACTTCAAGGATTGGTGAAATAGGAATTCTGTCCCTTCCTTTTTCTAACTCCTGAAATAAATAGTTCTTTTTGTGTCAGTGTCAGTAATGGCAAGGCAAGATCCCTGGGGCTCCCATTCTTCCCTGCATCACCTCAGCAATCAGCCCATGGCCCTGAAAGGAGAGGCCATCTTTGCCTTTGTGTTGGAAATGAGAGTTCACTATTCACACCAGGAAATCTGTGGACACCTGGAAACTGAAAAGGAAAAATTGATTTTCTTTCACCTTCCCACGAATCTGAATGTCACTTCAGAAGCTCCCAAGATTTAATTGATCTGAGACAACTTCACAGCAACTCCACCCCCTGTTGAATGATTAAGAATATTAATAAGGTTGAGGGCGCTGGCAACACTGAGAGGTAGGTATCTGCTTCTCCTCGCAGGGCCTCGTTATGAAGCATTTGGATAGAACTTCATTCTTACAAGTGCTTTAACCGAATTTCTCTTTGTGTGTTTGAAGGTGGCTTGGAAGCATCATTGAAGACTGAACTATATAAAACTGCCAATATTTGTGTCTTTTTTGAACTGTAATGAAGGCAGTTTTATAAGATTCAGATTAATATTAGCTACTGCCAGAGAAATGGAAGTTTGAAGCTTGTATTGATGAAATGAATTCTGATTCCCCATCAAGAGTCTTTGTCCTTATAACTAATGAATTAGTAAAATAATTTATTTTTTCATTAACAGAACATTTGTTGTATATCTATTCTTCAGTGCTTAATTACCCAGTAGGCAGATCAGGCATGCATGTGGGGACCCATAAAATAAGGCATTGTGTTTTCTGTAATTTAGTTCAATATCATTCAGCATAGAAAGTATGACACATATGTGTGTGTTTAGTTAGTTTAACTTACCTCCAGGGGCACCTTGCTAATATTTGAAGAACCCTAATCAGAAATACACACTCTAGGGGAGATTAGTTAGCATTTGAAAGACTCTAATCAGGTAGCTACTCTAAATGTTTAACTCTCAGCAATCACAATTAGCACTAGAGGGTTTATTAACCAGCCTGAGGGATGCTAGTAATAATTTTAAATTAGTGAAATAAGTACTATTCAAGATAAGTATATTGGTTAGAAATAGGGCACAAGCACCACTGCCTTAGCATGAACAGAATACAAGAATCTAGGGTGCTTCTGACCCAGGTCTGTTTCCCATTAGAAGATTGTCTGAATTCTGCTACAAGGCTACAATCGCGTTTGCATTGAGTCTTTCATGAAAACGATTGAATTTGTTTTCAGAAAAAAAGCATTCTGACAGCAGTGCAGAGGATGCACTGGGGTGTTCAGGAGCTGGAGAGAGAGTGAAGATAGTGAGACCAGTTAGGAGGCTCTGATAGTAGCCCAATGAAGAAGCTCTGAACTAAAGTTGTGGCAGTGTGAGTGCATGGAGTAGAGAGGATAGATTGGAAAGGTTTACAAGAGAAAAAGAAATGGATTTGATGAATAACTGGACATGGAAGAAGGGTATGTCGGTGAAAAGAAAGACATAAAGACAGCTTCCAGGGTTCTGATTTTCACAGTTCCATTTACCAAAATAGAAAACCAAAGATAAAAAAGAAGTTCAGGGCCAGTGAAAAATCAGCTACTTTTGAATAAGTTAATGTGAGATGTCTGCAGGACACCAAGTGGAGTGATCCAACAGGTAGATATTTATACACACATGTACAGAAGTACATATCTGCTATCTGGGATTCAGGAAGGAGACCTGGGCTGGAAATAGATATCTAATGTGTTTAATAAACATGTATTAGTCATTTACTATACTCCAGACCAATATTAGTGGTGATCCTTGCCTTCATGATGATTTCAGTATTTGGCAGACACCAAGTAAGGGGGACATTTGAAGTCTTGAGAATGAGGTCACCCAGGGAAAATGTAGAGTTAAAAGTGCAGAAGCAGGATCCTTTGGACAATTAATATTTAAGATGCAAGAGAAAAAAGGATGAATGATATAAATGGTATATGAATTGAAAACAAGAAGGATTGGCCAAATAAATAGGAGGAAAATGAGAAGAGAATGGTACTAAGGAAGTCAAGAAATATAAAAGTTTCATCTTTTATATGAAAGATGAGGCCGGGCGCAGTGGCTCCCGCCCATAATCCCAGCACTTTGGGAAGCTGAAGCGGGTGAATCACAAGGTCAGGAGATCGAGACCAGCCTGGCCAATATGGTGAAACCCTGTCTCTACTAAAAATACCAAAAAAATTAGCTGGGCATGGTGGCACATGCCTGTAATCCCAGCTACTTGGGAGGCTGAGGCAGGAGAATTGCTTGAACCTGGGAGGAGGAGATTGCAGTGAGCCAAGATCGTGCCACTGCACTCCAGCCTGGGCAACAGAGCGAGACTCGGTCTCAAAAAGAAAGATGAGAGAATGGTGATTGGTATCAAATATTGCAGAGACCAACTAGAAAAAGGAATTAAAACATCCATTTAATATGACTCTTTGGAGGTGCATGAATGGGACCATTTTCTTGTAGTGAGTTGAAGGCAGAGGATAAAGGAGACACTAAGTAATAGAGTGGAAATGAATCTTTCAAAAGCTTGTCCCAGGAAGGAGAGCAAAAACTATTGGACAGGTGGTTTTGGAGAGACAGAGTTGGCCAGAGCTCTGCTTTCTGTTCTGTATGTTAGTGGGACAGAACTCTATGGAAGTGAGTGTCAAGGAAATGAAGCAGGGCAAAGTAGTCCAAAAATGAAATGCTAAAGTATTAAAGATACATTAAAATAAATTATTATTTCTAAATCTTGTTCATTTTAAATGAAACAAATGCCTTGGTAGCTATATATTTTCAAATGCAACTTGAGAAGTGTTGGCATCTTTAACACAGGCTTATCATGTAAGCATCAAGCAGACAGAAGGTGTCTTGTGAACATGCTGGCTGCAGTGGCGGGGAGAGGCGCCATGACCAGCGAGGCCCTTTTATCTCTACTAGAACTCTGACAGGCCACTTTATATGGGACATGGTTCCAGGAATGACATTCCATTACAAGTGAGTCAGCATTTCTGGGACTGTCACAGCTTTACTGGAAAGTACAACCTTATCTTCCTGAACAATTACTTTCAGGAAATATGATGGAAAAAAATTTCAAAGCTCTGACCTCTCCAAATTTGCTCTTTATTTTTTCAAATTTCCTGTAGAGTTGCTCATAGTTTAAGAATTGTTTTCATTAGAAAATACATGTGGAGTCTGTTGGCAATTAAAGGCAGCCAAATCCTGCCCCAAAAGCAAAGGTGAGACATTGCCTAGGCTAGAGCCAAAAACATAGCTTTTGAGGACAGATTGGCTTGGGCATAAGTTCCAACCCTGTAATTCATTAGCTGTGTGACCTTGGAGATGAATTACTTAGCCTTTCTGAGACTCAATTTCTACAGCCGTATAATCAGAGAAAATAAAAACAACAGATATGTTGTGAAATAATATACATGAAATGTTTTGGAAGAAGTAGTTTGTTCAATAGCCAATAGTTTCTTTTTTTTTTTTTTTTTTTTTGTATATTGATTAGCTTGACTTGATTGGTTAAATTTGAGTAACATTTGTTCAGCACCCATGATGAGCAAAGTACTCTGTCCACATACACTGCAAAAAGGTAAGAAATAGCCAGTATAAATGACGGTAAGTAAGTTCTTCATTTACACCAATAGCTCAAGAAAGAATGGAGTGAAACTGATGCAGGAGGGATTTAAAGTGAAGCAGAATACAATTTCAAACCACAGTGAAATGCCATCAGGCCACTATAAAAAGAGTCAGTAAGAAATCTCTAGTGGAGATTTAAAAGAAAAGGATAGTAATTGTTATTTTGAAATGATTTAAGCATCATCACCATGGTTTCATGTTATCTTTATTATTTTATATTCTCAGAGAGGCTTGGACCATTTCCATGTATTGAAGCACCCAGTGTATATACAAATGGAGAAATGTCAAAATAGGATTAAAAACTGTGCTGTATTAAAAAATATGTGTGTGTTTGTATATGTATATATATGATCAATTATTTCTTTTAACACCAAAATACAGTGTACTATAAATAAACTTTTCACAAGATAGTAACAAGATTGATTTTAAAAACCCTATTTCAAAGTGTACTATAGGCACTATGAAGAACATGTTGTTTCAGTCTAGTCACTGTGTCTTTGGGAAGACTTTACAAACCTATGTTTGATGGGACTACACTGGCCCTTTGTGTATGTGAGGTCTGAGCCACAGTGGGGTGGCCACAGACTCGTGGTGATGGACTCCGACCAGTACCTCTGAAAGCACAACCCTTGGCATAACGTAGATGCTCAAGAAAACTTTGTTGAATTAATCAGTGAATTCCTATGTCCTGATTACCACTTACGAAGTGTGCTGAAGATCTTTAAAACTGGTGTGCTGCTAGGTTTGGGTAACAGTTTAAGATTCCATTGTTACAAAGGGAAAGAACACATTGCCTTTGTGGGGCTTCTGCATTCTTTACATGGGTGACTGCCTTAGAGAGGGCTCGGTGCAGAGAAGAAGAGGGGAAGTGGAACATGATGAGGGACATGGACCAAGGAGCTCTCTCAGGCTCAGTTTGCTCGGGTTGTTACTGTTCAGAGTGCTTGAGGATTTTGGGGTTTTTATAATGCATAAATGACACAGCATCAACCCTGTAATATATTAATAGGAGAAGTTAATTCTATCAGCAGCAGCATTAGAGCATTTCTAATTTCCCTAGAAATTAAGAGAAATCATCTGTTTTTAAACAAAGGCTTTTTTTTCTAATCTATAATGCCTGTTTTAAATAATAATTCAAAAGTGTGCTAACACCAGAGATATGACCGCCATCTTTAGAGTTTGTGTATCTAGAGTAGATTATGTCAACTAACCTCATGCAAGATGCTTCCTGTCATTGCCAGACCACCTTCTCATCTAACTGTGACTCACTACTGACAGAGAAAGCAGGGTAAAGGATTTAAATCCTCCTCAAGTTGATGCAGCTTAGCAGGCTCAGCTTTGAAGCCCTCTGAGTCCGGAGGGCCTGGTTTTCCCATTCTACATGGAATAATGCTTCTGTTCATTCCCCCAAAGTAGGTAATTAATTCTTGGTAGTGTGGTGGAGAGAAGGTGAAGGCAAGTTGCTTTAGTTTTGAGTCTTTCAAAGACTCTGGTCTCCTTTACCCATGGGATCTTTAAGTATTCTGGTGCACAAGAGGTAGAAATAGTAGTAATGATAATAATAGTAATAATAATAATAATAAACTCATTATAGTCTTGTATTTAGGAATGACTCATCTACAAAAACCTGTGGATTTTTAAAAGTATGACTTATCTACACATCCTCCCTAAAAGTGAAAGAAAGATTCACTTCACTGAGGAAATTCAATTTAATGTACATACATTGAATGTTCAGTGTGTGCTTGATTCTATGTTAGGCATTTTGTCTGGAAGAATATAAAGATGATTCTAGATTATGGTCTTTTTAAGCTCAAAATCTAACCATGGAGGCCGGCAGCACCTAAGTAAAGGAAGCCTTGCATGTCTCAGTGCCAAAGCCCTGGCCCCATCATCTTGCTGACACTTCCCGTCTCCTTTCTCTCCTCCCTTCCCTCACTCACTTCAACTACCATTGACTGGGTGCCTGTTTTGTGTTAGGCCAGAGGCTAAGTGCTAGGGGTATGGACATGAATAAAATTCTGGAAATGTTCTCCAGAAGTGCACAATCTCACAGTGTCTTTCTCAAAAGCACCTAGGCCTCTTGCAAGCACCTGCGCATACTTCAAGGTAGTAAGAGGCCCAGATGCTTTGAGAAAGACACTAGGTGTGCATGTGTGTGGCCTGGAGCGCAGACACATCGGCCTCCACTCTTCCTCTGACTCTCTTCCCAGACACTTTCAGTGAGAAGAAAGTGGAGAGTAGGGCTCAGAAGAGATCTTCCCAAAATTCTTGATATGTCAAAAACCTTAACTTCCCTTTCTTTTGCTTAATAATGTTATGGGCTGGACTGTTCCCCACTGACCCATCCCCCTCAATTCATATGTTAAAGTCCTAGCCCTCAGTACCTCAGAATGTGGCTGCATTTGGAGCTAGGGTCTTTAAAGAGATAATTAAATGAGATCATATGGGTGGGCCTTAATCCAATATGACTTGGTCCTTTTAAGAACAGGAAGAGAGGCCGGGTGCGGTGGCTCACACCTGTAATCCCAGCACTTTGGGAGGCCAAGGCAGGCGGATCACCTGAGGTCAGGAGTTCAAGACCAGCCTGGCCAACATGGCGAAACCCCATCTCTACTAAAAAATACAAAAATTAGCCAGGGGTGGTGGCAGGTGCCTGTAATACCAGCTACTGAGGCAGGGAGATTGCTTGAACCCACGAGGCAGAGGTTGCAGTGAGCCGAGATCGCACCACTGGACTCCAGCCTGGGTAAGAGAGCGAGACTCCATCTAAAAAAAAAGAAAGAAGAGGAAGAGACACCAGGAGCACACGTAGGGAAGACCATGTGAGAACACAGGGAGAAGGCAGCCATCTACAAGCCAAGGAGAGAGGTCTCAGCAGAAACCAACCCTGCTGACACCTTGATCTCAGACTTTCAGCCTCCAAAGTTGAGAGAAAATAAATTTCAGTTGTTTGAGCCACCCAGCCATGATGCTTTGTTATGGCAGCCCTGGCTAACTAAGATAACTCATTCATGCACTACCCTGCACAAGTGAGAGTAGCTAGACTTTTCTACTTCATCTTTTTGAGGAAGCTCCGAGGTTTGAAAAGCTAAGGTAGCTAAAGACTAAAGATGTTTAGTTTTCCAAAAGTTGGGAAATGTGGGATCATCTTGAGCAGTTTGGTTGCTGAGGGACTTACAAGAGGATGAATGCCAGGAATCAGGCACCTTAAAGTCAGCACAGCTGATGAAAGATTATTTAGAGATTTGTGGAATGTAAGAATCTAAGTATATCAATTATGGGTGGGTGAAAGATGTTTATATTTACTTGAACAACATAGTAGGGACATACAACTATCTACTAAATCAAGTTTAAATTCTGTAACCTAGATTTTGAGATCCTTTGTTGTTGATCTTTGATGGCATTCTAATTTGATTTCTTACTACTCCCCAGTTGACCTTCTATGCTTTGGCTGAATGAACTGCCCCCTGAATGTATTTTCTCACCTCAGTGTGTTTGTTCATGCCAGAGGGAAGTCTCTTTGAGGATGCCTTTCTCCACCCGAATCCCTATCTTCCTATTTATTCAAATCCAATCTATCCTTTATGCCCCATACCTCTGCTTTCATGAAATACTAATCTTTCCCAGCATGGAGCCACCTCCCTTTCTTTTGAAAGTCCATTGCACCTAATTTGAATCTCTTTCAAGCTTGCATGACAATTTTCTTTTCATGTTCTCTCCTTTAATAGGCCATATGCACGTCAAGCCCAGGGTCTACATTCTGGATCATTTTTGCATCCCTTACAATGCCTTGTACATAGTAGAAACGCAATAAATATTTGATCAATAAATACATATTGTCATAAACTGAAATATCTGGATAATAGATATTTTTGGCCATTATATTAAATTCTCAATTGTTTCAGTGGCTCTCTCTCATCTTTCTTCTAGATCTGATTCTTATCTTATAGCATCTTTTCTCATCAATTTCTAATTTCTAGTTACCCAGACTCCCTAGAGCTATTTCTGACCATTTCTTCTTCTTCTTGACTTCATAACTGGTAATTTCTATATCTTATTAATTTTTTACTTAATAAGATCTGTTGTTGTCTAGATTTTAGTTGTCTGGGGTTTTCCAACAGCCTGATTGTTTGCCTGTAGGCTTGCCTTCTCTAACATCCCTTCCCACCACCCCACAAAGCCAGACTCATGTATTGATATGGTTTAGATTTTTGTCCCTGCCCAAATCTCTTGTTGAATTGTAATCCCTAATGTTAGAGGTGGGGCTTGGTGGGAGGTGATTGGATCATGGGGCAGAGTTCTCATGAATGGTTTAGCACCATTCTCCCTTGGTACTACATAGTGAGTGAGTTCTCGTAAGACCTAGGTGTTTAAAAGTGTGTGGCACCTCCCACCCCCGCTTCCTCCTGCTTCCACCACATGAGGTGCTCGCTCTCCCTTTCCCTTCCGCCATGATTGTAAGTTTCCTGAGGCCTCCCCAAAAGCCAAGCAGATGCCAGCATCATGCTTTCTGTATACCCTGTAGAATCATGAGCTAATTAAGCCTTTTTCTTTATAAATTACCCAGTCTCAGGTATTTCTTTATGGCAATTAGAGAATGGACTAATACACGTATTTAACAAGTAGTAGTAATCATAGACAATATTTATTGAGTACTTCGGAAGCACTGTATTTATATATTGCATCTCATTTTACCTTCTGAATAAACCTAGGAGGTAGTGTTTGGATTGAATGCTTGTGTCCACCCCCAAATTTATATGGTGAAGCCCTAACCCCCAATCTGACTATATTTGGAAATGGGGCTTTTGTGGAAGTAACTAAGGTCAAATCAGGTCATGAGCATGGGACCCTGATCTGATAGGATTAGTGTCCTTATAAAAAGAGACACCAGAGACATGGATTTCTTTCTCCGTGTGCACACACCAAGGAAAGGCCACATGGGGAAGCAATGAGAAGGCTGTCATTTGCAAGTCAGGAAGAGAGCCCTCATCAGAAATGACTAGACTGGCACCTTGGTCTTGGACTTCTAGCCTCCAGAAATGCAAGAAAACCATAAACATCCAGTCTATGGTATTTTGTTATGGCAACTTAAGCACACTAAAGTGAGTTAAGTTACATTATTATCCCACTTAATGAATGAGGATAATTAGGTTCAGAGGAGCTTGATGACTTGTTCAAAGTCTCACAGCTTATAGATTGTAGAGCTAGAATACTAATTGTTGTCTGCCCAATTCTAGATTCTTATTTACTTAAATATTTTGAGACAGGGTCTTTCTCTGTCACCCAGGCTAGAATGCAGTGGTGTGATCATAGCTCACTGCAGCCTTGACCTCCTGGGCTCAAGCAATTCTCTCATCTCAGCCTCTTGAGTAGCTGGGACTACAGGCATGTGCCACTGTGCCCGGCTAATTAAAAAAAAAAATTTGTAGAGAGGGCGTCTTACTATGTTATCCAATCTAGTCTCAGACTCCTGGGCTCAAGCGATCCTCCTGCCTTGGCTTCCCAGAGTGTTGGGATTACAGGAATGAGCCACCATGTCTGGCCCCTCTTTTTAACCACCATGCTATATTCTTCATTCTTTCATATTATTACTCCCAAAGGTGTGCTGGAAAACTGGCTTTCTGAAACAAACAAAAAGAAGCCTGATTTGTAGGGTTTGTTGATTTATATGATATAAATACTCCCACATTTTAAGGTACCCATAGTTTAACAAGCAGTTCACATTTCAAGTTACCAATGGTTTAACAACTAGTTCTAAATATTTATTTACTTATTTATTTGAGACAGGGTCTCACTTTGTTGTCCAGACTGGAGTATAGTGGCACAGTTGTGTCTCACTGTAGCCTGGAACTCCTGGGCTGAAGGCTCAGCCTCTGGAGTAGCTAGGAGCTAGGACTATAGGTGCATGCCACCATGCCAAGTTATTTTTATTTTATTATTTTTTCTTTTTGGAGAGAGGGAGTCCTGCTATGCTGACTAGGCTGGTCCCAAACTCCTGGCCTCTAGCGATCTGTTTGCCTTGGCCTCCCAAAGTGCTGGGATTACAGGTGTGAGCCACCATCCCCAGCCTGGTTTTGAATATTTAATAATTGGCTCTTGTAAGCCAGGACAAGCTGCCTCTAGCCCACCACTGGTTGCTCCTTTGCTCTAGAACCTATCAAGGGAAAAAAGAGTCTAATAAGAGTAAAAGCTCCATGAAAGCAGGAACAATGCTTGTCTTATTAATTAGTGTAGTGGGCCTTCCATAAGTATTTATTGAACATTTATTAGCTACTTAGGAGATTTTATGTGTATTACTTCAATTAGCTAATGTTCTGTGCAGGTAAGCATTATTATCTTCATTCTACAGATTTTAAAAAGTGAGATTAAGTAGAGTAAGTCCCTTGCCATCTTTCCATTCCTATCCTGGGGCAAGGATTTTGCCTCCCCTGTAGTGTCAATAAGCTGAGTTTTAAGTAAGAGCTCAATAAATGCTTGATGGATGATTGTTTACTTCATCCAGAGAATTCTGACTCCCAAGGCTGTTACATGCACAGCCATTCCTGTTAAATGGTTAAATCCTGTTTTACATAGGTGATATGTGTGTGTATGTGTGTGTGATGAGATTATTATATGTTTGTGTGCATGTACCTGAAGTAAAAGCATTGGGAAGTGAGGAAAATAATAATAAAAAAAGCGTTTTTTTTTTTCTTAAATCCACTCAAAATAGTAAATCCAGAAACAAAACAAGAGGTGTGTTTCTGCTCCACTCTGAGGGTTACGCACATACTGTTCAATGCCTGCGAGGAGCCAGATCCAGGGGCCAACCTCCCTTTGAGGAGAGAATAAAAGATGCTGTTAATTGGAGCCACATTTAGTGCTGTGGATTTGCCTGGCATCCTCTCACTCAGACTGAGACAAATTTCTGTGCCAGAAATGCAGGATCTGGAGAGAAGACATCCAAGCTTGATTAATTTTTAGACCTGCCTAAGAGTATATCTTCTGGACCCAGAACCAGGGTTGGAAGAGAAAGTGCTGGGCCCCCAAATCCACTCCATGAGGAACAGCTCCAATCAAAGGCCTATGTACTGAGTGGGAAGTCAGCTGCAGGAGGTAACTACTACATGTGCATTATGTTTAAAATACCATTTCACTCTCTTGAACCTAGTTTGTAAATGGCAGCTTGTTTAAAGGCCCAAGGATGAAGTGGGTGAATACATACTGATGTCTCAAATCCAGCGAAGCAGAAAAAGGTGCTGCTTCTTCAGGACACTTGACTGCTATTTGTCTGCAAATTTTCGTACGGAATGGGCAGATGTATGATCGACAGGATGTGAGTGTCATCCTCTAGAATAGAGCAGGGCATAATCTACACATGCTGGGGCCCTGCAGGGATTATCCAGGGTGTGTGAAAGTATAGTGACGCGGAGGGCAGGGGAGTGAACAGGTAGAAATATAAATTTAGTCAAACTAAAAAAGGATTCTTATCCAGGATCTATAATGTGATGTAACATTTATATAATCTTCATCATATTCTGAGTGGCACGAAAATGTTAAAATCTAATTAACCTTTAATGCACTCATCTGAGATTATTATGTCAATTTTAAATGGATCAAAGTGAAGGAAGGAGAGCAAATTCCTGGTCCAAGAGTGTTGAGGGAGCGGCATGGCTAAGGTTTAAATGTAATTTTCTCTAGCTCTCGGTTGGAAGGGCTTGCTTTTTCCTCATCTATCCCTGGCCACCAAGATGAGACTTAAGCAAAGCTTTAAGATCCAAGTGGAAAGTAGCAGAGGCTGAACATATAAATGGATTTGAAGAAGGTTTAGATAAATTAATAGATGACAGACCCATCATGGTAACCAAGTGACACCTGAAAAGCATCCATGACTATTGTATGCAGTGGCAGCAAACAAGGATGTCTTTTAAGGGGGCCACTGGCAGAGTTAGAGAACTAGGACTCGGGCTGGTATGTGTATGTGTTGCCTGTCACCCTGGGCCACCCTAAAATTCCTACTAATGCCTATTAATGTTCTCTCTCCCCCCTCCCTCCATCACTTCTTTCCTTTCATTTCCAATTTTATAGTCTCCTGCAGGCATAGACTATTGCTGCAAAAGAACAAACAGAACTGGGGCTTTATTTCCAATTGCCTCAGAACCATGGAATGAATGTTCAGTGTGAGACCTTATTCTTGTCTATTTACTGGAACATCTATTATGATCCTTGCTTTTATAGTTGAGGCCTCCTTATTGTCTGGAAAAAATAGAAAGGGCAGGCTTACTCAAATCCTAGTTTCAATTTCAGCTTCCAAATTTTTTCTTCCTTCACTGATTGATTGCTTTATTGACTGAGTCATTCATTCACCAGGAGTAACGAAGAGCTTTCGTGTACAAAATATTTGACTGGGGTCTCTAAAGATGAATAAATCACAGTTCCTGGTCTCAAAGAGTTATGTATTAATAATGATTATGGTGACAACTAAGTAAAAATGATAATAACAACAGCTAACATATATGGAGAGCTTACTGCATGTTAGGCACTGAACTAATTTCATTATGTACAGACATTAATCCTACTCACAATGATCCCATGGAATAGTTATTATATCCTTTTTATAGACCCAGAAACTGAAGCATAGCGAGGGTGAGGGGTGACAGCGTGCTGGCAGTCCTCACAGCCCTCGCTAGCTCTCGGCGCCTCCTCTGCCTGGGCTCCCACTTTGGCGGCACTTGAGCCCTTCAGCCCACCGCTGCACTGTGGGAGCCCCTTTCTGGGCTGGCCAAGGCCGGAGCCTGCTCCCTCAGCTTGCAGGGAGGTGTGGAGGGAGACGCGCGAGTGGGAACCGGGGCTGCGCGCGGCACTTGCGGGCCAGCTGGAGTTTCGGGGGGGCATGGGCTTGGCGGGCCCCGCACTCGGAGCAGCCGGCCGGCCCTGCCGGCCCCGAGCAATGAGGGGCTTTAGCACCCGGGCCAGCGGCTGCAGAGGGTGTACTGGGTCCCCCAGCAGTGCCAGCCCACCTGCGCTGTGCTCCATTTCTCGCCGGGCCTTAGCTGCCTTCCCGCAGGGCAGGGCTCGGGACCTGCAGCCCGCCATGCCTGAGCCTCCCACCCCCTCCGTGGGCTCCTGTGTGGCCTGAGCCTCCCGGACGAGCACCGCCCCCTGCTCCACGGCACCCGGTCCCATCGACCACCCAAGGGCTGAGGAGTGCCAGCGCACGGCGCGGGACTCGCAGGCAGCTCCACCTGCAGCCCTGGTGTGGGATCCACTGGCTGAAGCCAGCTGGGCTCCTGAGTCTGGTGGGGACGTGGAGAAACTTTATGTCTAGCTCAGGGATTATAAATACACCAATCAGCACCCTGTGTCTAGCTCAGGGTTTGTGAATGCACCAATCCACACTCTGTATCTAGCTACTCTGGTGGGGACTTGGAGAACCTTTGTGTCCACACTCTGTATCTAGCTAATCTAGTGGGGACGTGGAGAACCTTTGTCTGTAGCTCAGGGATTGTAAACGCACCAATCAGCACCCTGTCAAAACAGACCACTCAGCTCTACCAATCAGCAGGATGTGGGTGGGGCCAGATAAGAGAATAAAAGCAGGCTGCCGGAGCCAGCAGTGGCAACCGGAGTCCTTTTCCACACTGTGGAAGCTTTGTTCTTTTGCTCTTTGCAATAAATCTTGCTGCTGCTCACTCTTTGGGTCCACACTGCCTTTATGAGCTGTAACACTCACCGTGAAGGTCTGCAGCTTTACTCCTGAAGCCAGCGAGACCACGAACCCACCGGCAGGAACGAACAACTCCAGACGCGCCGCCTTAAGAGCTGTAACACTCACCGCGAAGGTCTGCAGCTTCACTCCTGAGCCAGCGAGACCACGAACCCACCGGAAGGAAGAAACTCTGAACACATCCGAACATCAGAAGGAACAAACTCCGGACACGCCGCCTTTAAGAACTGTTAACACTCACCGCAAGGGTCCGCGGCTTCGTTCTTGAAGTCAGTGAGACCAAGAACCCACCAATTCCGGACACAAGGGGAGCTGACTTTCATTATAAAGATTTTCTCATTGCAAAGTGAAAAAGAGAATAATAACTTTAAAACAAGGCAGAAAGTAAAGAGAACTGGAAGCGAGGAACATGCTCTGAACTAGAACTGGCAACATGAGAGATGAGCTCAGGCTTCAAAATGGTGTCTGCACTGGGTCTTGAAGGAAGAGCAGAGTTTGGGCATTTAGAAACCAAGAATTCCAGGTGAGGATAATGTGTCATAGATATTTCTTGCGTTTGGCTGCCCAGCCTCTATTATTTGTTTTTTATACCCAACACTCTGATTTACGGTTGGGGAAATTCTCTCCATCCATTGGGTAAAGTTCACAAAATATTATTTACAGAGATGCTCTGATTTCCTCTAGCTAAAGCCAGGTCAATTGGATTTTCTCTGTAATCTGAGCAGAGTGGCAAAAAAAAAAAAAAAAAAAAAAGCAATAATGTGGCCCTCATTTGTTCACTCTGGTTGTGCCCTGAAAAGATTGTCCCACAGTTTTTGTTACTCTGAGATCTTGTCCCCCAACCCCAAACTGAGCTTTCTAAGCCTAACACTTCAGTTTCTGTGAATTTCTACACATCCTTCCGGTATATCCCCATTTTTCTAAGGTAGCCAAAATCAGTTTTTGTGGCTTGAAACAAAGGACTGTGAAGTGCCAAAAGTAAATCCATGTGTGGGCTACACTGCAGAATGCCAAACCTTCCATAGTGTCAGCAGTGCAGAATGCATGAAGGAGAGTAGTGAGTGACGCATCTGGAAAGGTAATTGGGAGCCAGGTGGTCTGAAGTCAAATGACAGGTTAAGGAGATTGAATTTCACTTGGTGAAAAGGGGAGAACTATTAAAACATCTGAACTGGGTAATATGATTACATCTCTTCTTTAAGATTACTCTGGCAGCAATGTGGTCATAAATTGGAGAATGTGGATATTAGAGATAGGGAGACCAGTTAGGAAGCTATTGTATTGGTCCAGGCAGGTGGTCATGAAGGTTTGGACTCATGGTGTGGAAGTGGAAATGAAGAGATATGCATGGATGAAAGGGCATTTTGTTCTTCTGGATAGGAGCCAATGGGAGAGAATGCTGATTTGCAACAGAGCTGGTGGGGAGTACATCCCACAGGCATATAGAGCTGATGAATTCTGCTGCATTGTACCTTAAGCACCCCAGAGAAGGCTCATAAAGAGGAATGCAGCAGCTCAGTCTGGAAAGCAAATCAGTTGGATTTGGACCAAATTAATATCTTGAGTTGTCAATGCTGAAGCTTTGACCACTCTCTGGACAAATAATTTTTAGTTGAGACAGCAGGCAAGAGAAGTTCCCATTGGGAAGATTTGGTATTTCTGTATTTTTTTCTGAAAAAATTAAAATAAAAGCCCCAGTTTTTTTTAGTGGTTCATAAAAAGTTGCAAAAGGGAAAGCATTATTGAGCAATAAAAGGTGTGTTTATGTGTATTCATAAGAA
This sequence comes from Homo sapiens, assembly GCF_000001405.40. Lineage (NCBI taxonomy): Eukaryota > Metazoa > Chordata > Mammalia > Primates > Hominidae > Homo > Homo sapiens. The sequence continues at coordinate 172,869,463 of NC_000003.12, forward strand.
GTGGGCTACAGGCCAACTCCCATAAATGCTTTAGACTTGTACCTCGGTACTGAGCAATTTCAAGAACCCTGGAGGCTCCTATTTCACTGGGAAAATGGAATGGAGGCAGCTTCTGCAGCCCTTTCAGGCTAATCAACTTGATACAGACTGAATTGGGAAGCCTGCCCCTTTAAGTGTTGACAGGAAGCAAAATTGTAGTGTAGCAAAAATGGTCTTTGGAGTCCAATTCTTTCTATTCTCCTCTCTGGCTTGGCAAACATCTGTGTCTCCATGTGCTCCCTTGCGTTTCCAGCCAGTATCAACGGCTGTTAACCTATCTCAATTAACATCCACTGCTTATCAGGTTTGGGGACACCACTTTTCAATGGACATTTTGTCATCCAGGCACTATAGCATTGTGAAAACTAGATCCTTGATATCCACAGATAAAAGACTTTCTTACAGAAAGCAGGGATGATAGCCTATTCAGCTGGCTGTGATATTACTTTCCTAGGTCTCAGATCCCAGTAGAGAAGTGGGAGGGACATTTCTAGGGAAGTAGTTGGGGAAACCCTTATCCTTCCACATGAAATCATACTGCAGAAGCAACTGTTCATTCCATACAAGAACAAGGCTAGTTCTACCTCCCATAGTGTGTATTGCCTGAAACATACAAGGGTCTTGGAGGCCGAAGATTTTGCCCTGTAGTCACTTGGCTCTTCAGTCCTTATTACATAGAAACCATCTGGTCATACAGGATTTACGGTTCTCTTGAAGGCAGAATCTATCAGGAAGGAAATGCCTCAAATATTAAACTTCCTTCTTTTTGCCTAAGTCTTAGCTGAATGCCTTGGATTTTTACTGCTTCTGTAACAAATTTCCATTAATTTAGTGGCTTAAGACAACATAATCATGGCCTCCTACAGTTCTGGAGGTCAGACCTGGGCTAAGAGCAAGAAGTTGGCAGGGCTGCATTCCCTTCTGGAAGCTATGGGGCACAATCTGTTTTTTTGCCTTTTCCAGTTCTTGGAGCCTGCTTGTGTTGCTTGACTTATGGACCCATTTCATTTTCGGATCCAGCAATGGCTGTAGGGCTTTCTCACATAGGATGCTCTAGCTCTTCTTCTGCTTCTTGCTTCTATTTTTAAGGACCCTTGTGATTACATTGAGGCCATTCAGATAATCTTCCTGTTTTAATATCAGCAGATTAGCGATCTTAATTCAACTGCAATATTAATTCTCCCTTACCATGTGACATAACACATTTATGGGTTCTGGAGATGAGAACTTGGACATCTTCGGGAGGCTATTACACTGCCTGTCACAGTGAGGAAGGATTAAAAAGTCTGCTCCTTCTCTTCTGTGTTCTGGTTACTCTTAAAACCTTTAAAATTCTTAAAATGTATTCACACTAGCTTACAGGCCTCAAAAGTAGTACATCAAAAAATAGTTTTCAAATGAATTCAGGGTGTAGACCCTGTGTTAGGAGCCACCGGAAGTACGCAAAAGAACATGTGGGATTATAATGCCTTTAAGGAATTTTTAGACACTGTTTGAGTGAATGAAACACATACACGCAGACAACAGAGTAGAGCAGGATTTGAGAAATGCCATGGACTGGTTCAGCTGATTCATGCCGTGGGATAATTTAGAAGAGGGAACATCACTCTGAATCCCACTGATGGAACGTTTCCCCTCCTCCCAACCTACAGTCAGTCTTTCCAGTGGAGCATTTCAGTAAAGGCTTCATGGGAGCAAATCTTCTATTATTTTTTATTGTTGCAGGTATCCCTCAGCCTGGGGGCTGGGCGTGGGGGAGAACAAATGCCAAGTATTCTCACCAGCTGGCCCTAGATAGCTATAACTTACATGATCCTCCCTTTATACTACCCAATGCTGGAGAGTGTTCCCCCCTCACCGCCGCCTTTTCTTTTAAAACAGCCGGTTTCTTCAGACTGATAACAAGAATCAGCAAAAGTCTGAGAGCAGGAGTGCAGCTCATTGGTACAGCAGCCATAGTAAACAAGGAGGAAGGGAATCCCTTCATGAGGACAGGAGGGAAAGAAGGAGGATTTACTTTAAACCTGTAAGTATTTCCAAGGCGACTGCTGGAGAGAAGTAAACAGCAGCTATAAATAATTTTCTACCCCAAATGCTTTGGGGTCTTTTTAGCTACCTTCACCTGTGAGCATCATCTGAGACTTGACATATTTAGTGAGGAGACACTTAAAGAGGGGATGGAATGAACATAAGTGCCGTTGGGGGTAGCTCTTGTAGACATTTTAAAACGGAGTCTTTGTGATTTGCTTCTGTGCCTCCACTATTTGCCGAACAACATACTACTGGTGATACCAGAAATGTGCTATGGTGACTGCTGAAGAGGTAATCTCAGAGGTGGCTTCCTTCTCTGCAGTGACCATCCAGCCTCGTAAAGAACAACAAAGGTTGAAGGGCTGCCCCATGATTAATATCTGTGGTCAAGAGGGAAAGCCTGGTTTTTAGTCTGCTGGTAAATGCAGTCAGTGGCAGGTCAGGTTGCTGTCCCCTGGACTTCCTTCAAATTAATTGCAGCATTTCCTATGATAGTGGCTTGGTGATGCTGGAAGCCAAAAATTTATTTTCTTGATTATTTAGAGCGGCAGTAAACTGTATATAAGAAGTCAGGTGCATTACCTAAACCATGGTCATATAGGGAATGACTTCCTTTTCTACAACTTGCAATGCTGCCCATGATAGGGATGTCGGTCAAATATAAATGAGGGAGTATGACTTGTTTTTGTCATAGAAAAGCAGGCCTATAATCACAGACCTGTCCAGAGTGAAGGAACTGTAAAGGTTACCATTCTCCCTTTTAAAGAACATATTCCTTCTATACCCTGGATAGATCCAGCCTCTACTTGAATATTTCCTATAATGAAAATATCACAGTCTCAGCAAACTTTTTCAACAAAGGGCCAGACAGTAAATATTTTAGGTTTTGCAGGCCCTTGGGTTTTTATTTTAATGTAACTACTAAACCTGCTAATGTAGGAAACCAGCTATGGACAATATGTAAGTCAATGGGTATGACTGTGTTACAATAAAACTTTATTTACAAAAACTGGCGATGGGCTGAATTTGGCTCACGGGCATAATTTGCCTATCCCTGAGATAGGCCATTATTTTGCAAGACAGCCATAGTTTTTAGAACTTCTACCTCGAACTCTTTGAGGACTTTCACTAGTCCTGCAGTGAGTGATTTTCCAGCTTCCCTCCATTCTCTGTTCATTCCCTGATTTGCCTCTGGGCTTCTGAGGCCCCCTGTGCACACACTGTCAAATAACTCAACGCATCGTATTATTATAGTCTGACTTGTTTCTCCTCAACTACACTGTGAAAGTAGAGATCCAGCTTTATTTCGTGTTACCACATTAAGCACATTACTTGGTACATAATAATAATTGCTGAACCAATGTTTGCGAAGTGAATAAATGAGAGAACAAAGGAGATTTATCATATATCTTGAGCCAGAGTCTTGATTAACACTGGCTAGCCCTTTGATTATTTGGAGATGACTACCAATGCAGAGTGGTTCAGGGAAGGGAGGAACACAGATAGATGCTTTTGTACAGACCTGTACTGTCTGATACCACAGCTGCTAGATATATGTGACTATTGGGCACTTGCAATGTGGCTAGTCCAAATTGAGATGTACTGTAAATGAAAAACAGGTACTCAATGTTAAACAGTCATTAATGTCTCATTAATACTTTAAAATTATGCTTACATTAAAAAATTATAATATTTTGGATAGATTAGACTACATAAAATATATTATCAAAATTGTATCTTTTTTAACTTTTTAAATGTTGCTATAAAAATTAAAAATTGTATATGTGGTTCACCTTCGTGACAACTCATTACATTTTTATTGCACAGCACTGATGTGTCTTAGTTTGTTTTCTGCTGCTATAACAGAATACTACAGACAAAGTAATTTGTAATGAACAGAGTTTTATTTGGCTTCTGATTCTGAAGGTTGACAAGTCTCAGAGCATGGTGCTGGCATCTGGCAAGGGCCTTATCCCATGGCAGAAGGCAGAAGTGAGTACACAAGACAGAGGGAAGAAGGAGGCCAGACTCCCAAGGTAATCAATTCCTTCCCAAGAGAAAAGCAGTAATATGTTTATGGGGGTCATGGCCTAATCACCTCTTAAATGTCCCACCTCTTAATACCATCACAATGGTAGTAAATGTTAACATAAGTTTTAGAGGGAGTATTCAAACCATAGCAACTGGTATAGAGAGCAGATCCTCCCTGGGGAAATGGTTGCTATACCCTTCCATCTTGAAAGTTTGGCAAGTTGTTTTTGCATTCACATATTAGGTCTTCTTACCAGATCATGTGTTTTCATTTTGTTCTTAGAAAACAAAGCTTGATTACCACATAGCTTGATTACCATGGCAGTAATCAACCCCTTGAGAAGTTGCCCTGTTCTATGACCCGTGGCATAACTGCACTGGAGATATTCATAAGGTGTAGGAAGGCAGGAGCCATTTGCTCAGCCAGTTCTTGCAATACTACAGCTGAAGACCCTGTGGCCTGAAATTTTGGCTGACCCCTTTGAAAATGTCTCATGCCCTGGATTAAATATTTCTTTCTTTCTTTATCATTTATTTTATTATTACTTTTTTTTGAGACAGAGTCTAGCTCTGTCACCCAGGTTGGAGTGCAGTGGCGCAATCTCAGCTCACTGCAACCTCCGCCTCCCGGATTCAAGCAATTCTCCCACCTCAGCCTCCCGAGTAGCTGGAACTACAGATGCTTGCCACCACGCCCAGCTAATTTTTGAATTTTTAGTAGAGACAGGGTTTCATCACATTGGCCAGGCTGATCTCGAACACCTGACCTCAGGTGATCCACCCGTCTCGCCCTCCCAAAGTGCTGGGAATACAGGAGTGAGCCAGTGTGCCCGGCCTGGCTTAACCATTTATTACTCACCTGGGTAAGTCTTAGTTACTTGGCAATACTCAACAAGTTTGGTTTGATTAATTCCTAAGACCTGTGAGATCAAGGGTGATGACAGTGTGAAAAGAGCATGTTAGTTGCTGTTTTGTGGTTATTAGTAACAAAATCTCACCTTTGTTCATACCGCTAAAGAGGAACAGAAGCAAAGTTCCAAATTATTTGTACTGGAGTTTTGCCTGTGTTATGTGATTTAGGGAAGAGAATGGGGAGGCGATGAAAAGTAGATATCCTTTACTTAATTATATTTTGCTTAGGCCGGAAATAAAATTGTGTTCCCTCTGTATACATCTCTTTTGCTCTTTCCTTGATCAGGGATTCCTTTGAGCTTTCTCCATTTGGAAATGTCCTACTCATCCTTTAAAATCCAACTCAAATAGCACATCTTCTATGTTAAACATGCCTGCTTGGGTCTCTTGGCATAGATTTTTATTTGATTTTGAATTTTACAACAACACACAGATAGTTCTGTAATTTAACTGTTTATATTTCTCTTCCCACTAGACTATATGCTTTTTGAGAGCAAGCACTATCTCCTTGCCATTTTTGTATATCCCACGCTTGCTACCTTTTCACACTGCCTTGTGCATAGTATATGTTCAGTAAATATTTGTGGAATAAATGAATGAATAAATGAAAGAGTTATTTTACTGTCTGAGAATAGTAATGATTATAAAAGAACTGGGTGATTTTTTTTTTCAAGTATTGCTTGCCAAATCTACATGCAAATAATGAAGAGCAGAGTGCACATTTCATTTACATTTGTTTAATGACCACAATTAAAATAACAAACAAGAGGCTGTTTATATATCCAACTGGAGTTCCTGAGGCTACCACATCCATCATAAAACACTATGCAGAAATGCTCTAATGCTACATATGATAGGATTTACCCCATTTTGCAGCCTCCAAGAGCAAACACCTCATAGGTCCGAAATGTCACCTGTGTATAAAGCCATCCAAGAGCAGATAGAGGATAACATAAGTGATGGGTATGGGAGTGCAATTCTTCAATCAGGTCAGTTGTCAGCATCATACCAATTTCTTATGCTTGATATATTTTCTATGGTATAAAAGGATAAGCAGTACCGCTGGACCAAGAGGAAAAAGAAATCAACAAAGAGAAGAAAAAGGTCTCCTTTTTAATTTTGAAATCACTGGATTTTTATGTTATCCTTTCAGTTACCCACTTTTGGGATTTGAATAACACTTAAAAAATGTAACATAATCTGTGTCTTCTTTTTTCATTTCTCTTTCTCTGGTGCAGCTATAGTTTTCCATATATAGCACAATAATACAAGTAAGTGCACACTGCCGTGGCCCCACTGTGGGCACTAACAATTAATAGCCAGAATAGAGCCCAGAGGCATTGGATCCAAGATACTTGCATTTGTTTCTTTGCATATGAGCTTTGATACCTTCACACTGCATTTCATGAACAGGAAATTTCTAGAAAAATCAAGATTTTTGTTTGTGATAGCAGTCCTTATCAATTTGATAGAAGTTCCTTTAATACATGCAGGAAAACAGATTGAGCTGAAAAAATTCCCTACTAAGGAATAAAGAGCATTCTATTGTAGTAGGGTGTTGTAGGAAAGGGAAGGGTAGAAATTTCCCCTGGGTTACTGGTACATAAAGTACGTATGGCCAGAAAGCATTAGAAGAATGTCATTTAAAAACCATTCAGGAAGAGCCTCGCTTTGTGTCGTTTCTTATGATTATAAACCGTGAACATGGAACAAGATATCAGCATTTAAAACCTCAGCTTGTTTATGAAAAACACTCAGCAGCAGGCTTTTTGGCTTTAACCTTTTTAATATTCTGGATGCTAATTGTCCAGACCATCTCACCCTTCCAGGTTAATGAGGTGGCTAACAGGCCACAAAAGAAAATGACTGCCCAATCAAATTATGATAAACAAGCAAAACCAGAAAACAAAAAGCAAAACAAATGGAAAGGTTGCAAGTTACACAGGCTTTTATTGTCTTCAAGGAATGTACAGCAACATTACCATTCCGTTGTCTCCTTGTGATGGATTGCAAAAAGAATCAGAAAAGGCACAACATGAATCTGCTCTCAGGACAATGATCGTAATCAAAATAGGAAATGGTACAAATGTAAGCCATTCTCCTTGCAGTTTAAAGATTATAAATCCCTTATTCATCTGTTATGATCCAGGGCCTACTTGTGATTTTTATGGTTCTTTACACGCTTGGAATTTTAAAACTATAATGTGAAGGGGCTACAGCTGTTCTCTTTCTGATCTTGATGTTTAATCCCCGCTTGTAGCATTGCACCCTGGTCTCTTCCTCTGTCCATCTGCAGCCTGAGCCTGCTGCCAATGCCTTTCACGTGAGAAATTCAGCCCATCCTGGTCCCTTCCACTCCAAATATTAAAACACAGCCTCTACTTCTCTAAGAGGTTCTGGAAAAGTTTAGGAGCACTTGTTAAGGGTTTTGCTCTTTCTGGGAAACTTGAGCTATTCTCATGATCATTATGTAACTTATAATGGAAATGGGACCTACAGCAGGTTTGGACCCAGAAGACTTGGATTTTTATCTTCAATGTGCCTCTTTCTGGGAGTATGACCTTCTTTCTCTGAGCTTTTGTTTTTTCATTAGGAAAATAACTGCCCTGCCTACTGCGCAGGGCTGTGTCGAAGATCAAAGGAGCTAATGCATGTGAAGTGCTTTGGGAACTGGGGCCAGCTTTTCAAATGTAAGATGTTGTCAGTATTGCTATCTGGCAGTGAGGTGAAAAAGGCAAGTGGGACATAGTAGTAACAGTGATTTGTAGCCTTGTAGATTTCTTAAGTACATTGAGTGCTTTGAGCTAGAGCTAGATGTTTCCTGTTTGTAAAAGACTCTTAACAGTGACTCTTAACCTCGTGGTCCCTTGGGAGGCCTAGTTTTTCATGTAGTAAACTTGGGAGCCGTTGGGTGTAAGAGAAATTATTTTCTTACCTGCTTCTGGGGGAACAACACAGGCGATGCATGCTCTAAGGTACTCGGCTTATACCCTGGAAGATTCTTGTTTGTTGGGTCATGTGTTCTCACATATATTTTTCATTTTTTCTTTTCATATTGAAAATCTTCAGTAATTATCAAGATAAATATTTATGTTCCAACATATTTACAGTGAATGAAGCTTAATGCTTATTGCAATCCTTTCTATTGATCATCATAGTCATGTTTTGAAAATGACATCAGGCTAGGCGCAGTGGCTTACGCCTGTAATCCCAACACTTTGGGAGGCCAAGGCAGGTGGATCATGAGGTCAGGAGATTGAGACTCTCCTGGAAAACATGGTGAAACCCCATCTCTACTAAAAATAGAAAAATTAGCTGGGTGTGGTGGCACATGCTTGTAATCCCAGCTACTCGGGAGGCTGAGGCAGGAGAATCGTTTGAACCCAGGAGGCGGAGGTTGCAGTGAGCCGCGATGGCGCCACTGCACTCCAGCCTGGTGACAGAGCGAGACTCCATCTCAAAAAAAAAAAAAGAAAAAGAAAAAAAGAAAATGACATCAAAGCTTGACACTGACACAATTTTACCAAATATGCCCTTTTCCTGTTCTTTGAAGAGTCCATTTCTCTCTGGAATGACCATCCTTTCAACTTTGCTCTACTTTTTGCCTAAGAAGACTCTTTCTCATGGCATCTACCTTGTTGGCAAGTTCTTCCTGTTTTCAGCTGTGCTGGGATGGCAGAATCCCTGTTTCCTCGTCACACACTGCTCCTTCACTTGTGGCTGTGCCTTCCTGCATAACCCATGGGACCTTCTATTCGTGAACAATTTCTCGTTTCCTATGGTCAAAGCTGATGCAGAGCCTAACGCTTTTAACTATTGGCATCTTTGAGTTGGATGCCTGACACTTCCAAATTTGGGTAGCACAATTTATTCTGTGGCTATTTTGGTTTTGCATTTTCTAATTTCATTCATGTCTAATTTCTTTCATTTCTAATTTCTATGGAGGGAAAAGCAGTATTAAGCCTACCTTTTACCAGGTGGTGTCATGATTTTAAAGAATCTCCACACATTAAAATTCCATTTTTGTGTAATATCATTTTAATAGAAATGCTCATTTTATGGAAGGAAAATGACTGATAAAATGTGAATGATTCTTAGGAGCCTCTTATACCCTTTTTATTGAATTTTGGTGTGGCTTAATTCATTAATAAAGGTGGAAGAGTTGGAACTGTGGCATGTTTTATCTCCTCTCATTATTCAACAAAAGAGAATTTTTTTCAATAAATATTTAGAGAAAATTTCCAATTTTTCTTTTCTCAATAGTACATTTTTTAAGAAATAGAATGACTGCAGACTCAATTCAAAATTGGTATTTTAAAGCCACTCTTTCAATTCATTTATTCTCTTAACAGTTCCAAGGAAGTAAGATATAATATTATTATTTCTATTTTGCAGATGGGGTGAGTGATATTCAGAAAAACAATGTGGGTTGTCCTGGAACACAGTGCGGCAACAGCATTTCTAGGAACTAGGCTAAAAACCAGTTGTTTTAGATTTTAAACCCAATTGCTAAACACTCTTTCCTTCTCTTTCATCTTCCCCTTCTTTCCTATAAATATTCATGGAGAATTCACTCTATTTTAGAAACTGGAGGAGCTTTGGGGACAAAAAGAAAAAAAATCCTTGCTCTCTAAAAGTACACACTGTAATGGAGAAAAATAATGTGTACACAATTCATTCTTATATGATATGACATGACCAGAGTTATGCTGGTGGTATGAAGAAAGTGTTACACGAAGATCAAGTAAAGTATGATTAAGTCTGCCTGGATGTTGGGGAAGGGAAGTGACTGGGTGAAGGTTTTAAAGAATGAGGACATTTTGAGTTGAGAATTTGAAGACTGAGCGGGGAAGAAAGGAAAGGGTATAGGGAAGATCATCAGGGTGTAGTACTAATATGGTTTGGTTGTGTCCCCATCCAAATCTCATCTTGAATTCCCATGTGTTGTGGGAGAGACCTGGTGGAAGGTAGTTGAATCATGGGGGCAGGTCTTTCCCATGCTGTTCTTGTGATAGTGAATGGGTCTCAGGAGATCTGATGGTTTTAAAAATGGGAATTTCTTTGCACAAGCCCTGTCTTTTGCCTGCTGCCATCCATGTAAGATGTGACTTGCTCCTCCTTGCCTTCTGCCACGATTATGAGGCCTCCCTAGCCATGTAGAACTGTAAGCCCAATAAATCTCTTTCTTTTGTAAATTGCCCCGTCTTGGGTATGTCTTTACCAGCAGTGAGAAAATGGACTAATATAGTAAATTGGTACCAGTAGAGTGGGGTGCTGCTAAAAAGATATCTGAAAATGTGGAAGCAACTTTGGAAATTGGTAACAGGCAGAGGTTGGAACAGTTTAGAGGGCTCAGAAGAAGATGGGAAAATGTGGAAAAGTTTGGAACTTCCTAGAGACTTGTTGAATGGCTTTGACAAAAAATGCTGATAGTGATATGAACAATAAAGTCCAGACTCAGGTGGTCTCAGATGGACATGAGGAACTTGTTGGGAACTGGAGCAAAGGTGAGTCTTGTTATGTTTTAGCAAAGAGACTGGTGGCGTTTTGCCCTTGCCTTAGAGATTTGTGCAACTTTGAACTTGAGAGAGATGATTTAGGGCATCTGGTGGAAGAGATTTCTAAGCAGCAAAGCATTCAAGAGGTGACTTGGGTGCTGTTAAAGGCATTCGGTTTCAAAAGGGAAACAGAGCATAAAAGTTTGGAAAATTAGCAGCCTGACAAGGCAATAGAAGAGAAAAATCTCATTTTCTGAGGAGAAATTCAAGCCAGCTGCAGAAATTTGCATAAGTAACAGGGAGCCAAATGTTAATCCCCAAGACAGGGAAAATGTCTCCAGGATATGTCAGAGGTCTTCACAACAGCCCCTCCCATCACAGGCCCAGAGGCCTAGCAAGAAAAAATGGTTTCATGGGCTGAGCCCAGGGTCCCCGTGCTATGTGCAGTCTAGGGACTTGGTGCCCTGCATCCCAGCTGCTCCAGACATGACTAAAAGGGGCCAAGGTACAGCTTGGGCCATGGCTTCAGAGGGTGCAAGCCCCAAGCCTTGGCAGCTTCCATATGGTGTTGAGCCTGCAGGTGCACAAGAGTCAATAATTAAGGTTTGGGAACCTCCTCCTAGATTTCAGAGGATGTATGGAAATGCCTGGATGTCCAGACAGATTTGATGCAGGGGCAAGGCTCTAATGAAGAACCTCTGCTAAGACAGTTGGGAAGGGAAATGTGGGGTTGGAGTCCCCACACACAGTCCCTACTGAGGCACTGCCTAGTGGAGCTGTGAGAAGGCCACCATCCTCCAGACCCCAGAATGGTAGATCCATCGACGGCTTACACCGTGTGCCTGGAAAAGCCACAGACACTCAACACCAGTCTGTGAAAGCAGCTGGGAAGGAGGCTGTACCCCGCAAAGCCACCATGATGGAGCTGCCCAAGACAATGGGAACCCACCTCTTGCATCAGTGTTACCTGGATGTGAGACATGGAGTCAAAGGAGATCATTTTGGAGCTTTAAGATTTCACTGTATTTCTGGATTTTGGATTTGCATGGGGCCTGTAGCCCCTTTGTTTTGGCCAATTTCTCCCATTTGGAATGGCTGTACCCAATACCTGTACCTCCATTGTATCTAGGAAGTAACTAACTTGCTTTTGATTTTACAGGCTTATAGGTGGAAGGGACTTGCCTTGTCTCAGTGAGACGACTTTGGACTGTGGACTTCTGAGTTAATGTTGAAATGAGTTAAGACTTTGGGGGACTGTTGGGAAGGGATGATTGCTTTTGAAATGTGAAGACCTGAGATTTGGGAGGGGTCAGGGGTGGAATGATATGGCTTGGATGTGTCTCCATCCAAATCTCATCTTGAATTCTCATGTGTTGTGGGAGGGACCTGGTGGGAGGTTATTGAATCATGGGACCAGGTCTTTCTTGTGCTGTTCTTGTGTTAGTGAATGGGTCTCATGAGATCTGATGGTTTAAAAATGGGAGTTTCTCTGCACAAGCCCTCTCTTTGCCTGCTGCCATCCATGTAAGATGTGACTTGCTCCTCCATGCCTTCTGCCATGATTGTGAGGCCTCCCCAGCCATGTGGTACTGTAAGCCCAATAGATCTCTTTCTTTTGTAAATTGCCCAGTTTCAGGTATGTCTTTACCAGCAGTGAGAAAGCGGACTAATACAGGTACCCGTCGTCCTGAAATATGGGGTGCTCCAGGGTGGGGTTACCCAAAAGATAGGGCAGCAAGTTAGGTAGAGCTGGGTCTTGAAATCTCAGTGCCTTTAAAGTGTCTGGAATCTCTTGTGGAAATAGGGAGCTGCTGCTGGTGTGAAAGTGTATGACATTCATACACCCATGCAGATTCAGATCGTGAGATTCATAAAGATTGTTCTGATCACGGTGTGGAGGAGGGATTGGAGTGAGGAGAAATCAGGGAGAATAATACCTGTTATGGGGTGCATCATTGTGACTCCCCAAATTCATGTGTTGAAAGCCTAAGCTTCAATGGGATGATATTAGGAGATGGAGCTTTTGGGAGGTAATTAGGTCATAAGGGTAGAGAGTTAATGATGGGATTATTGTCTGCATAAAGAGATACACAGTAAGCTTGCTTCCCTTTTCTACTCTCTATCAGGTGAGGATACAGCAGGAAAGCACCCATCTGTAAGCCAGGAAGAGGGCCTCACCAGACATCAGATCTGCTAGCACCTTGATCTTGAACTTCCTAGACTCCATAACTAGGAGTAATAAATGTTGTTTACGCCACCCAGTTTATGATAATTTGTTATAGCAGCAAACTGATTGAGGCAGGGCCCACCTGCAATGACAACTTGTAGGAGATGTGAAAAAGTCTGAACTAAGGCAGTGACAGTGGGAATGAAGCAGGCAGGGTGGAAAAATTTGACATTTTGAGCTAGAATAGAAAAAAAAGCCTGCCTTGTTGTAAAGTATAAGGGAGAAGACATACTTCTATCTTAAAAAGATCTAGAGTTCTGGTAGAGCACATATATTTTTAGTTTTAAATTGTTATTATTTGGACCACAGCTCATTAAATACCTCAAATAACTGGCTTTTCTGTGTTAAACATTTATGAGAAAGGCAAATGGCAATAAAATAGCTTGAAAGCAATTTTATTTTCAAGGAAGCCATTTCTACTTCCTGTTTTGGGACCACTTCATATTAGTTCAATTTCATACATCTTTGGTGTCATATTCCTGTCCCTCTGTCCTCTGAGCATTCATTTTCTGGTTGTCCTGCATTCACACACCCACGCAGAGCTAGCAGCTCCTTCCTCCCTGCCACATAGAGGTACTCAGGCAGCACTATCAGAGATATTTCAGGACAGTCCTTTGCAGGCCTGCCCCTTCTGCTATAGTGTTAACTCCTTTAGGCCAGGGACTGTTTTTTACTCTACTTTCTATCTCAGAGGGAGGACACTAATATTTAGACTCTCCATTATGTGTCACACACTATTTATACCATTAAAATATATGGGGGCTCTCAATACACATATGAGGACTATTATCATCATTTCATGGATTTGGTAACTGAGATATGGATTACACAATGAGAAAGCCAATGCTTTCTGTATTACCTCACATTACTGTCCTAATGTCCATTCTGTGTCCTGGCATATATTTGGATGCTCTCATTTAATTAGCATTATATGGAGGTCAATTTTCTTATCAATAGATAGCTCTTTCTCTGCTAGTGGAAAGGAATTCTCTGTCCCTGGAGTATATAAATAGTATTGTGTTTCTACTTTGTTCTTGGTTAAATGCATTGTGTGTGCTAGTTCAGGAACTTCGCTTTGCTACCACTTATGTTTTTATGGGATAATGTGACTCAAGGGACTAACACTGGTTACAGATGTTCCCAGTATATCCTTGGCTTCTCCTGTGTTAAGTAACCATGTGTTACATTAACGATAAGATCACAAATCTCAATGCTCTTTGAGTATCTACCTTCCTACTAGTAGAAAATTTTGGGCTTTTCCTAGGATTATTCTGCTCAAGTATTCCCAGGAGGCACTGTTGTGCAAGGTGGGTCCTTTAGCGATCACCATCTGTCTTAAGCCAAGGCAAATCCTATAGTTCTGCTTTATAAAGAAAGGCTTTATTAGGGAAACAATGCAAGGTTCAGTCAGATGTAATATTTGTCATGTCCACAGCAAGATGTGCTGGCTGTAGGGCATTGTGTTGGACACACTGTGGGTGCACATTCTGGGAGCAGAACCTTCTTCCTTGTTGATCTCTCATCTTAAGGAAAAGTATTAAAGGGGATAGATACTGATGTGGTCTGGCTCTGTGTCCCCACCCAAATCTCATCTTGAATTGTAACCTGAATTGTAATCCTCATGTGTTGGGGGCGGGACCTGGTGGGAGGTAATTGAATCATGGGGACAGTACCCTCATGCTATTCTCATGATAGTGAATGAGTTCTCATGAGATCTGATGGTTTTATAAGGGGCTTGCCCACCTTTGCTCTGCACTTTTCTCTCCTGCCTCCATGTGAAGAAGGACATGATTGCTTCCCCTTCACCTCCCACCATGATTGTAAGTTTCCTGAGGCCTCCCCAGCCATGTGGAACTCTGAATAAATTAAACCTCCTTCCTTTATAAATTACCTGGTCTTGGGCTGTTCTTTATTAGCAGTGAAAGAACAGACTAATACAGATACTAACAGACTATAGGACTTTCATGGCCGGTTGTCTGGAAAAGCCAATTGCCCTGCTCCTGGGGACCTTGGGTTCACAGAAACTTACAGTCAGGGACTGAAGGCTGAGATCCAGTTCAGCTCATCCTGCCAGAAGAAGGGAAGAGCTCTCAATTCCATCTGACTTATTGTCCAGGCCAGTGCTGTTCAACAGAAATATCATTTGAGCCACCTACGTAATTTTGAATATTTTAGTAACTACATTAAAAAATTAACAAAAAATGGGTAACATTAATTTTAATAATATATTTTCTTTGAATCACTATATCCAAAAATTGTTGTTTTATGTAATCAATATAAAAATTGTTATTGAGGTGTTTTACATCCTTGATACCAAGTCTTTGAAATTAAGTGTGTATTTTACACTTACAGCACATCTCAATTTGAATGCTAAATTTTCATCCAGAATACTTGATCTGTATTTAGATTTCATAAAATGTAGAGTTAAAAAGTCAATATTCATACCCAAGTTGTTCCAAATATACTTCAACATTTTCCAATAACTGAATTGAGTATCAGTTTTTAAATTTAAATTTAACTTTAACAAGTTAAATTTAAAATTAAAAATTCAGTTCTTTGTTTGCACTAGCCAATTTCAGGGCCTCAGTTGTCCCACATGAGTAGTGCCTACCTAATTGGATGGAGTAAGTTCCCATGGTCATTTTTGGGCAATCTTAGGCATGTATATTTCTAATTTTACTTAGGACCCACAAGGTTCTAAAAACAGTGATATAAAAATAAAACACAGAAAAGCAGTATATCAAGTCCCTATTCTGGAGTAAAACTGCCTGGTTCAAATTCAAGCTTTGCTACTTTCTAGCTGTAAGAAAGTCACTTCACCCCTTGGGCTTGACGTTACTATTAGGTAAAAAGAAGATAACATTTCTTGTCTCAGCATTGTGATAAGGACAAAGCTGAACAATGTTTGGTTTATAGTGAGTTGTCAATACAGGTAAGGTATTATTGCTTCAGTGTTTAAAAATTATTTCATGATTCATTATGTCATTTATTCCTTACTAAAACCTTATTAGGTAGGAAAAGAATTATCCCTTTTTACACAGAGCTAGGATTTGAACACAGGTCTTCAAAATCTAAGCCCATTTTGCTTTTCATATGATGATTACTATCATCATCAGCTAACTTGGGTGGCACCTGTGAGAGGTATCTTTCTATTTAACAGCTGTACTATACCAGCTTTCCCTTCTGGCTTTATGGAAGCAGACCTGAGACAACTATTTATATCTGTCAACCTGTTGTATGAGTTTTAGAGAAAGGGCTGACTTCCTGTTAACATCAGGGATTTGGTCTTCTCATTTCTCACTAAATATTTGCCTTGCTACTTTTTCAAACATTTATTTTAAAAGGAAGCTAAAGTCTTGATTATTAATGCATATTAATTCTGCACATTGCCTTGGATTGGTGGATCACAATAAAAGCACATATTCAATATACAATTTTCAAGTTCCCATACTATTTATTATATCACATGCATGGAGAATAATTTTGAGCTTTGATTATCTCCTGTGGTGTGAGTGTCTCTGGCTTTTTTTCATTAAGATACAAACAGAGTATGCTCGCATTAAAACTTTTGGGATGCTCTTTGGGTCTATTTTCTGACTTACCTTTCCTTTGATGGTTTGTCATAAATAGCTGCCTGCCTCCAGGTGTCATTACACTCCATCTTGACAATCTGCTGCTTGTCAAGATTGTACAATAGTCCTTTGTATCCATGTCCATGAGCCCAGGAAACTGCTGAGTGGATCAGGCCACTTGTGAAATATCTGATTGAACTTAGACTCCATCATATCATCTCAATGAATCAAGCCACTGTAAATCACAGCTTTGCTCTGCCAGTGGTCTCTCAACCTTCAATACATTTTGATTTAAGGGACGTTGGTCTGTGATCATCTCATATTTCATGAGATGATATACTGTGAGTACAGGGAAAGAACTAAACAAAATAATCGGAGGAGAAAGTTATAGGGAACACAAGTGAGAGAGACAAGGGACAACCCACATATTACCATATTTGTTATTTGTAAACACAGATAAAACACCATAATTGGTTCTTCGGTAATAGTTACCTAGTGACCTTCTGGACTTCCTGCACCAGGGATGCTTGGTGGGGGCAGTCATAAAAATTTTTATACCTTAAAGAATTCTTTAAGTGAAATGCTTCCTTTGGCTTCTGTCTGTGCAATCACCATTATTTATGATGCCAGTATCAGAATATATATATATATATATCTCAGAATATATATGCATATATATGTATACTCTGAAAAAATAATACTTTTTTCTTATAAAGAAAAAATACATATTTTTTATATAAACTAGGAAGAAAAGCTGATCTGAATTAGTTCTTTCTCTGCAAAGTGATAATAAATAATAATAATTTTTAAAGACTTTTTTTATTATCAAGGAACATATTCCATAACATTAAGGAAAAGATAACAAAATTACTCTTAACTACTCCTACTAAAGATAGCCATTCTTAATATCTTATTTCTTTCCAGTGTTTTATAGGTATATATTTAATAACAAATATATATTTAATTCAAATTATAATGTAGTTATAATTATGTGGCATATATTAGTAGTTTTATATCTTACTTTTTTCTTTTAACATTATAAATTTTTGAAAAGTTTTATTTTCAATTGACAACTCATAATTGTGTATAATGCGATATTTCATTATATGTGTGTATTGTGGAATGATCCAATCAGGCTAATTAACATACCCCTCACTGCAAATATTTATCACTTCATTATGGTGAGAACATTTAAAATTCTCTTTTAGCTATTTTGAAATACACATTATTATTAACTTGTAGTCACCATGCTGTGCAATAGATTACCAGAACTTACTCCTCCTTTCTAACTGTAATTTTGTCCTCTTTGATCAATGTTTTCCCTTTACCTGTCTCTCCCAAGTTTCTGGTAACTACTATTCAACTCTCTACTTCTGTGAGCATCCTTTCTGTTGCAGGGGTGTGTGAAAATGTGCAGCCACTCCTCTGCTTGGGAGGGTGAGTTGCTGCCAGTGGTTTCTGTCTTGGCTCCATTAGTGGCAGCTATAGGTGGGGAATGTCAGTGGGATCCAGGAATGTGGAGGTGTAGGGGTGTCTGGGCCCCAGGGCAAGATGCTGTGTGGTGGGCACTGGCTTCTCAAACTGGCATCCTGCTGCAGCTACTTAGGACCTGGGTGTTCCTGGGACTCTTTGTGAGCTCCCTCTCTGGAGTACAGTCTTCAGGCCGTTCTTTATGTTACTCAGGGCCTGCAAGGGTCAAGGGGCTTTCCAGTGGCTAGGACTGCAGGAGTCTGCAGTGGGAATATGGACCAGTTGAGGGGGGGGTCTCTCACTTACCCTTCACCTGCATTAGAAAGCTTCTCCAGGCTCCCAGCCAATCCCAGCTGAGCAGGCTGACCTGCTTCCCTTTCCTTCCTTGCTCTCAGTGTTTCCTGTCCCTTGTCAGATGAATTCCAGTGTTCTCTCTCATATAATCTATTTGAAGTATAATTATCTACTTGCTATTTGGTTCTTCTTTGTGGAAGAAGCAAGTGCTAGATGCATTTAGTCAGCCACCTTGGACTGTTTTGTCCCCTGATAATTCTTTTACCTTATTGAGGAATCCCCATATTGTTTTCCAAAATGGTTGTACTAATTTACAGTACCACCAATCATCTACAAGGGTTTTCTTTTCTTCAAGTCCTCAACAACACTTAATATCTTTAATCTTTTTATAAATAGCAAATCTAGCATATGTTAGGTGATATCTCATTGTGGTTTTAATTTACATTTCTCTGATGATTAGAGTTGTTGAGCATTTTCTTATATATCTGTTGTCTACTTGTATATCTTCATTTGAGAAATGTCTTTTCAGGTCTTTTGCCCATTTTTTAATATGGTTATTTGTTTTATTTTTACTGAGTAGTTTGAGTTCCTTGTATATTTTAGATATTAGTCCTTTGTCCAATAAATGATTTGCAAATATTTCATCCCAATCTGTGGGTTGTCTCTTCATTCTGTTAATTGTTTCCTTAGCTGTGCAAAAGCTCTTTAGTTTGATGCAATCCCAGCTGTTTATTTTTGCTTTCATTATATGTGCTTATGGGCTCTTAAGAAATCACAGCCCAAACCAATGTTATGCAGCTTCCCTTCTATATTCCCTACTAGTAGTTTTACAATCGCAGATCTTACATTTAAGTCTTTAACCCATTTTGAATTGATTCTTGTATAAGGAGTGGAACAAGAGTCCATTTTTACTCTTCTGCATGTGGATATCCAGTTTTACCAATGCCTTTCATTGAAGAGATCATCCTTTTCCCATTGTGTGTTCTTTGCACCTTTGTCAAAAGTCAATTGACCATAAATGTGTGGGTTTATTTTAGGGCTCTGTATCCTATTTCACTGGTCAATGTGCTGTTTTTGTGCTAGTACCATGCTGTTTTGATTCCTATAGCTTTGTGATCTATTTTGAAATTCAGTAGTGTGATGCCTCTAGCTTTAATATTATAATTTTTTGTATGTTATTAGGTTAAGCATTGGATAAACTGTCATAAATCATTTAGTCTATTACTTCTGCTGTGAAATTTTGATTGGGTTCATTTTATTTTTTGAGCTTTTATCAATGTATTCCAAAATTCTATTTATTTTTCACTATTAAACAAATTATGTTTTTCTATTTTACTCAGGATCTGGGCTCCTCCTCCTTATTCTATTCTCAGATCTTTTTATTGGCATCAGTTGAGGTCTTCAGTGATGGCTATCAACTCACTACCTTGTCAAACATGCAAACTTGACTATCTTGTCAAATGTGTGTTGCATAGCTTAAGGGGCAGAGAAAATACAATATAAAGGATCTAGAGGAAAAAAACAACTTAATGAGACAACTTAACTGATGTCAGACATACCATGTATGACTATCTTTATAAGAGTTGGGAAAGTACATTATTAGTTTTATAAGTTCAATTTTGCATTTATATTGTTTTCTGTATTTGTAGGTGGCCTGTGAATGATTCTTAATGAATATACATGATTATAGATGTATACTATAAGCATTATTGGGTAGACCTGATATACCTTTGTCCATTTTGAAAGATCAAGGCAGTGAAAGAGGTATCAATGGTTATTTTATAAGCTCTTTAACTAAACAAGAAAAATCTGAACAAAAGTCAAGTCAAACTTGCTGAGAATATTTATTGCTGCCAGTTGAGATTAATGAAACATAGAGTGTCTTTGGTAAAGATGAACTGAGGGGAATACCACCTCTTTCTTTTGGTGACAAGCTTTTGTTATCCAGCTTCACAGTACTAGGTGGGCATTGGAGTGGATGCCCTTGCCTCTTCTTCTGGGATATCTTAGTGGTAGTGCCTGCTCCCTAATGACTACCTTTGCTGAACAGTTTGAAGTCGCTTCATTTTTGTTTTTTGCCTTCGAGCAGTTCTCAGTTTTTTAGTTTTTAAGAAACTGTCCTCTAATTGGTATAGAAAATCTTCAATTTGTCCAACCTAGAAGAAATAAACAGATGCAACAAGATTTGTTGTTGTTTTCCTGGGTTTTGTATACTTATAAAAACGGTGAGGTATTTAAAATAAATGGCACATACAAATCCATGTTGGAACAGAACTGGCAGAAACAGAAATGATTACACATAAAAGCCTTCTTCTGTTTCCATTACAGGTCTCCCTGTTTTACTAACTTAACACAAAGCAGAAGTGCAGGAGTTTGCCTTATCACTTGGTCCAAGGTATTGGGAATGGAAATGGGGATTACTGTCACCATGCAGTTTTTAATGGTCAGTAAAACCAGGGATTTCAAAGGAAAGTGAATGGTAAAAGATTAATCCATGGCAAGCCTTTTCTCCATCTCCTTTATCAACAATAAGAGTGAAAACAAACAAACAAACTTACCTCCTTCAAAGCCAGAGATTCTAGCATTTAGATGCTCCTAACCAACATGGGAGAAAAATGAGTATTTGTATAGTCTTGGCAAGAATCATGTCTCCTTTCAATCAAAATTCTGAAAGAATGCATTTTCTTAAAAAATGCCACACTCCAGGGAATAAGGTAAAATAATGTTATACACAACAATTCTTGAAAAAGAATTAGTCTTTCTTCAAAGAAAACTTGCAATTATTCAATGGCAGTTGATAGAATGTAGTATACTGTTTGTCAGAAAAAACTATAGAATAAAAGTTTACACATATGCTGAATTGATTTCTCATGAAAGTCAGTAGATATACGATTCATACTTAACCCTGACTCCTAGGACCTGCATATTGTATTAGCCTAACATTACTCACTGAAGAGCTCATTGTCATAAAGTTAACTCAAAGCTAGAGCACTTACTATTCAAGGTACATGAACGTATCATCACTTAAGATAAAAGCACTTACAACTTCAATTTTCCAATTTTGAGTTCCACTTTTAAATTGCTTGATTTATCATTCAGAGTAATATCCAAAGGATAATTCAGATTGTCAAAAAGAGAATAATAAATGGTAGCACTCATCCATATGTTATGCTTAGGTCTCATATCATACCAGTGACATAAATGGTCCACTGTTTTTTTTTTTTTAAGAAAACAAGATAAATTATTTATATGAAAACTATTCTTTTTGAAACCCTTGTAAAAACTATTTCAGGTACATTTTTTAAAAAGCACATTGTTTTTTATGATGTCTGATCATTGCAGGACACATAAAAATAATTTGACAGAATCTTTTTGGATTCCTCCATGAAGTTAATGCATTATTCTATGTATTCCATATATATATACATATATATATATAATATGTGTATATATATATACACGCACACACATACACATATACACTATCTGATTTTCACCAAAATAAGACATTAAAAAATTAACATGGAGCACAGTCAGTGCAAATATAATGGATGGCAGCTTACCATTACTTCAATAGTTGAGTTGATGATTCATTCACATTATTTGTATTGACAATGTATCATTTAAATCAAAGTTCTTTACAATAAGAATATTTGCAATTAGCCCAAATATAATTTTAAATTACAATTCTAATGCAGCAAAAAGCTTCCTTCAATAAGACAGTGAAATAATTGTTTTTAAATATCCATTAGGTATCTGCTGTCTTTTAAAAACAATTGTGTTCATTAAGAGCAGTACTGAGTAATGGGGTTGCATTTTATTTTAAAAAGACAAGAAACACAAGATATGTCACTGGAATAAAAGAATTCCGCTGAATTAACTGGGCAGGTCCAGAGCACATACTATGTGCGTGCTGTATCTGGCCTGTATGTTCACCTCCTACCTGGCCTGTCTCCCTCCTGTGCTTTAATCCATCTCATAATGATGCTGGAATGAACTTTTAAACAGATAAATCTGATCTCACATCTTTCCCTTGCTTAATTATATTAAATGGATTTCTAAACCCTTAACATGGTCTATACACCTCTACACCTGGGTTATCAGGTTTCACTTGTATCTCTGGTGCTGTCTAACATCAATCCATCTGCTTTAGCCATGTGGGACATCTCTCAATTATCTGAGCACAGCCATGCATTGTTCTATGCCCCCTCGATCTTCCTAATGGAACATGTCCATTAGAACACTTACATATCCTCTAGATTTCAGGTCAAACATCAATGCTTCAGGGAAGTCTTCCTTCAGAACCCAGGCCAAGTTGGTTGTCTCAGTAACATTTTTTCATCTCTTTAGATATTGTAATTTTTAAACTTAATTGTTTATAATGATTTATATAACATCTGTCTTCTCATCTGGACTTTCAGCTCCATAAGGCAGGGACCAGGTCCATGTTGTCCACTATTTCCAAAACCTAGGATATTGTAGAACCTCAGTAATCCTACTCCCTGATAAAAGACTTGAAGAGTTTCACAAAACCATGTGTTTTTCCATATTTAAGTCATGCCTGGAATGAGGGATATCAGAAGGCATTCTTTTCTTCTATAAATTAAATAAACATTACTTTCTCTTGCCACCATTCTTTTACCATTGTTTAGCTTTGAGAGTGTCTTGCCTGTGTACTTGAAACAGCCAGGAGTAGAAAGGGCACTGGATGAGGAGTCAGTAGGAATGTTGAATTCTGCTCTCGGGTTGGCTTCTAACACTGCTCTGTGACCCCAGGGAAATTACTTGGCCTTTCTGAACTTCAGTTTTCACCAACAGTTGGTATTAAAAGAGGGTTGGCCTGGATAATTTCCAAAGACACATCTGGTCATAAAATTCCATGACTCACACTCACATCAGAGCCAAGTAGTCCAATCCTAAAACTGAGTACTCACATTTTCAAATCAGAGGTTATTCCCTTAGATTACACCATTAGATAAATGACACGATATGCAGCAAAGTAAGTCAATTTTAGCTTCTATACTTACTGACGTGTAGGAGAGCTGCAACATGTTTTTTAGAAAAGCTGGTTCTTTATTTTCTTTTTTTTATGTCAAGGAAAGAAAAATGCTGGTTAAAGAGAAAATAGATTCATATAACTAGAAGAACAGATTGCAAATGATAGAAATTTCTGTAAAGCCCTTAGGAAAATAAAACACAAAGAAATATGTAAGTACACAAGAAAGGACACAGTTTTTGAAGCAGAGGCTTTATTAGACTCTCTTTGGTACAGAATCTACTTGCTTAACTGTATCAGATAGGCTACTTTGTCATTCTGGGTCTAATTTTCCCCGTTGAAAAATGGGCAGATAACTTTTTTTGTGTATATATGCGCCAATGCAGACTTGACATTACAGTGATATGGACATTAGACCAAATGAGCTTGTAGAGAATTTTAGGATGTCTGATGATTGAGGGGAATGAAATATCTCAGTAGGAGGGCAGGTTCTGACCCATCATATGACTGTTGGTCATAACCCATATCAAAGAGTAAGGAAATTGTCATCAGTCAGTTTCTCAACACCTTTTAATTCACACTTAAACACTACTATTATGGGTTGAATTGTGTCCCCCTCTAAATTTATATGTTAAAGTCATAACCCCCAGTACTTTAGAATGTGGCCTTATCTGGAGATAGGGTATTTACGTAGCTAATCAAGTTAAAATGAGGTCCTTAGGGTGGGCCCTAATCCAAAATGACTGGTGTCATTATAAAACAGGGAAATTTGGAGACAGATGCACACACAGGAAGAATACCATGTGAAGAGGAAGGCAGAGATTGGGGTGATGCCCCCACAAGCCAAGGTACGATAAAGAATGCCAGCAAATCACCAGAAACTAGGGGAGAGGCAGGGAACAGTTTCTTCTGCACAGCCCTCGGAGGGACCCAACCTTGAAGACACTGATTTCAGGCTTTTACGCTCCAGAATTGTGAAATAATACATTTCTGTTGTTTAAGCCCCTCAGTTTGTGGTACTTTGCTATGGCAGCCCTAGCATCTGAATATAACTACTAAGCCATAAAGTGAAGGGAAGAGCAATTAAGTTATAATTTTCCCCTCAAACATGACTTTGATCCTTTCCAAAATTATCATTTCCCACTGATGTTCCCTACTTGGTTGGTGCCCCCTGGCACAGGCTTAGTGTATACCTTGGGAACCAGGCTTCTCTCTTGCCACTAATGGCCGTGAGAAGAAGTTGATCTCAAACATGAATGAACAAGTAAATTATACTGAGAAGGAAGATGCTGGGCTTGAATTTAGGCTTCCTATTAAATTTCATGTAGTCTGAATCAAGGAGAGAGGATTAGGTGTGTTTATATGGGTTTGCTTGCGCATGTTCATGCCTTAGGAATTGAGGGC
This sequence comes from Homo sapiens, assembly GCF_000001405.40. Classification (NCBI taxonomy): domain Eukaryota; kingdom Metazoa; phylum Chordata; class Mammalia; order Primates; family Hominidae; genus Homo; species Homo sapiens. The sequence continues at coordinate 172,893,937 of NC_000003.12, forward strand.
TCAAATAATTTTTTTTTTAATTAAAGCTTTAAAAGTTTTTTTAAAGAAGAAAGTTGAGGAAATAGGAATAAAATTCATCAGGAATAAATATCAGGTTTATATGAATGTAGTGGTAGTTACAGAATGGGAATGTGTTTTCAGTGATTAGCAGTTTGGACCAAAATCCTCTCGGTAAAACAGACATTTCACTCCACCACAGTGGATTTGATAACATTAGTTTCTTTGCTCTGTTCCAGTTTTATTTCCAGACCAAAAGCTTTTAAATATTTATCATCCAAAATGGTTTGAATTTTAATTCTTATTAGAATTACAATTGTTTTCAAATAGGCTTGAAATTAATTTCTAAAATAAACTTAAGTTTCTGAAACGGAGTTGTTTCTACTATTCATAATATAGCAGTTTCCTTTAGCTTTTGGCTAGTATTCAAACAGACAGACAAGCCCCTAAGTTTTTTCTTTTTCATTTAGTGAATTTGGTATATTATTTAGTATTTTAGTCATAAGAGTGTAACATAAAAATCTGGGGTACCTACCCCTGAGATTTTACAAAACATGCAAAAAAAAAAAAAAGCCAAACTATATCACCAACTCTTGAAAATACCCATAATGATAACACTTTTCAGTATATTTAATATAGAGTTAGAAAACTATTATGAAATTTTGCTATCACATAGTCCAGGAAACTATGTGTTATGGTCTGAATGTCTCTGTCCTCCCAAATTCATATGTTGAAATTCTAACTCCCAAAGTGATAGTATTAGAATGTAAGATCTTTGGGAGGCGATTAGGTCACAAGAATGGAACTCTCGTGAATGGCATTAGTGCCCTTATGAAAAGAGGCCCAAGGGAACTTGTTTGCTCTGTCCACCATGTGAAGACACAGCTAGAGTGCACCAACTATGAACCAGAAAAGGGGCCTTCAGTGGACACTGAGTCTGCCACTGCCTTGATTTTCCAGCCTCTGGAATGATGAGAAATACATTTCTGTTGTTCATAAGCTACCCAGGCTATGGCATTTTGTTATAACAGCCTGAACAGGCTAAGGTACCATGTATCATAGTTAAAAAAAAATTAATTTTGGTAAGATTTATCTGAAGGTTTGAATATATATTATTAAATTAAACTTTTGTGTTGGGATAATTGAGGATTCACACACATCAGTAAAAAGAAACTCAGCAAGACTCAGCATATTTTTTACCCAGTGTCCGTCAATGGTAATATCTTGCAAAACTGTAGAATTCTACAGCCAGGATACTGACATTGATACAGTCAAGATACGGAACAGTTCCATTACCACAAAGATCTCTCATGTTACCTTTTTATAACCATCTGTTTTCCTCCTGGTCCCTAACCTCTTCTTAAGCCCTGACAACCACTAATAAACTAATAAGTTTTTTTTTCTTGTCTTTTGTTTTTTGAGACAAGAGTCTTGCTGTGTCACCCAAGGCGGAGTGCAGTGGTGTGGTCTTGGCTCACAGTAACCTCTGCCTCTTGGATTCAGGTGATTCTCTTGCCTCAGCATCCCGAGTAGCTGGGATTACAGGCATGTGCCACCACAGTAGGCTAATTTTTGTATTTTTGGTAGAGACAGGGTTTCACCATTTTGCTCAGGCTGGTCTTGAACTCCTGGCCTCAAGTTTTCTGCTTGCGTCAGCCTCCCAAAGTGCTGGGATTAGAAGTGAGCCACCGTGCCTGGCCATAGGTTCTTCATTTATATAATTTTGTTATTGCAAGAAGTTTATCTAAATGGAATCATATAGTATATAACTTCACACTTCTATGGAGATTTATTCAGGTTGTTGTATCAATAGTTTATTTCTTTTTATCACTAACTAATATTCCATGGTATGAATTTACCAGTTTGTTTAACCATTCATTAGTTAGATTATTTCCAGTTTGGGGTTATTGTAAAATAAGTTACAATAATTTGGGCTATTGTAAAATAAGTTATAAACATTTGTATACAGGTCTTTGTTTGAACGTAAGTCTTTATTTTTCTGGGATAAAAGCCCAGGAGGGCAATTTCTAGGTTATATGGTAGCTGCATATTTAATTTTTTTTTTTCAGTAGTGCTGATTGGTTGGATTGGAAATGAAATCAAAGGGAGTCAAAGCTGTCTTGTGCTGAGTCAGTTCTGGGTGGAGGTTACAAGGTCAGATGAGCCAGTTTATCTGTCTGGGTGGTGCCAGCTGATCCATCACGTGCAGGGTCTGCCAAATATCTCAAGCACTGATCTTAGGCTTTATAATAGTGATGTTATCCCCAGGTTATATTTAGTTTTATTTATTATTTTATTTATTTTTGAGACGGAGTCTCGCTCTGTCACCCAGGCTGGAGTGCAGTGGCGTGATCTCGGCTCACTGCAAGCTCCGCCTCCCGGGTTCACGCCATTCTTCTGCCTCAGCCTCCCGAGTAGCTGGGACTATAGGTGCCCGCCACCACGCCTGGCTAATTTTCTGTATTTTTTAGTAGAGATAGAGTTTCATCGTGTTAGCCAGGATGGTCTTGATCTCCTGACTTCGTGATCCGCCTGCCTTGGCCTCCCAAAGTGCTGGGATTACAGGCGTGAGCCACCGTGCCCGAAACTGCCGTATTATTTTCCACAGTGGTTGTACCATTTTACATCCCATTAGTAATGTATGAGTGATCTAATTTCTCTGTGTCCTTACCAGCATTTAGTATTGTCATTATTGCTTATTTTAGCCATTTTAATAGGTGTGTAGTGACATCTCATTGTGGTTTTAATTTGCATTTCCCTAATGGCTAGTGATGTTGAACATGTTTTAACATGCTCAATTGTCATTCACTCTGGTAAATGTCTGTTCAAATCTTTGTCATTTTCAAATTGGATCGGCTTTTTTTTTTACTCCTGAATTTTAAGAGCTCTTTATAGAATCTGTATATAGTCTTTTGTTGGATGTAGGGTTTGCAAGTATTTTCTCTCATGCTGAGCTTTTTTTCATCCTTTTTTATTTTTTTAACAGAGTCCTTCCACAGGTAAAGTTTTTAATTTTGATGAAGTCTAATTTATAAACTTTTATGGATTGTGCTTTTGGCGTCAAGTCTGAGAAGTTTGCATAGACCAAAATCCTGTAGATTTTTTCCTATTCTTTTGTAGAAGTTTTATAGTTTTACATTTTGCATTTAAGTCTATAACCTAATTTGAGTTAATTTTTGTATGAAGTGTAAGGATTAGGTCAAGGCTGTGTTTTAGTTTTCTTTTATTTTTGGTCTACAGATGTGTAAATGTTCCAGCATCATTTGTTGAAAATGCTATTTTTCTTCCACTGAATTGCTTTTACTCCTTTATAAAAACAATCAGTACAGGATATATCGGTTTATTTCTGGGTTCTCTATTCTGTTCCATTGAGCTTTGTGTTAATCCCTCCATCAGTATACAAATTCTTGATTACTGTAGCCATATAAAAAGTCTTGTATTTCAAATTTGAGAGTTTGATGTCTATATTATGTGAGGTCTTTCAGTCCATAAACACAGTATATCTCTCCATTTATTTAGATCTTTGATTTCATCACTGTTTTGTAATTTTAGGCATACAATTCATGTAGATGTTTTGCTAGATTCACACCAAAGTATTTCATTTATTTGAGCAATTGTAAATAATACTGTCTTAAATTTTAGTGTCCCTGATCATTGCTGTTATATAAAAATACAACTGAGTTTTGTACATTTGTCTTGTATCTTGCAACCTTGCTGAACTCATTTTTTTGGGGGGATTTTTATGTAGACAATTATGTTATCTGCAAATAGGGAAGGGCAGATTTATTTCTTCCTGTTTTACATGCCTTTTCTTTCCTTTTTGTGCCTTAATGCAGTGGTTAGAATTTCCAGCACTATGTTGAATAAGAGTGGTGAAAGCTAATATCCTTTCCCTGTTCTTGATTTTAGAGGGAAAGATTTTATTCTTTCACTATTAAGTGTATTTAACTATAGAATTTTTGGAGGTGCTCTTTAACAATTTGAGGAGGTTCCTCTTTATCCCTAGTTTTCTGAGTATTTTTTAAATCATAAATGAGTGTCAATTTTGTCCAATGCTTTTTCTGCATCAATTGATATAATCTTGTAATTTTTCTTCTGTAATCTGTTTATATGGTAGATTACACTGATTTTGAAATATTCAAACATTCTTGCATCTATGGGATAAATTCCACTTAGTTATGGTATATAATTTTTAAACATATTGCTAAATTCTATTTGTTAATGATGTTAAGATTTTTGCCTCTATATTCAAGAGAGATTGGTTTGTAGATTTTTTGCGTACTATTTTTGTCCCATTTGGTACTGGGATAATACTAGATTTATAACATGAATTGGGAAGGGTTTGCTACTCTTGTTTTCTCTGAAAGAAATTGTGCAGAATTGGTGTTAATTCTTTAAATGTGTGGTAGAATCATCCAGTGAAAACGTCTGGGCTTGGAGATGTCTGGGGAGTTTATAATTATGAATAGTTATAGGGTTAATGAAACTATTTTATATTGGGTGAGTGGTGGTAGCATGTTTTTTGAGAAATTGGTATATTTATCAAAGTTGTCAAATTTATATATGTAGAATTGTTCTAAGATTCTCTTATTATCCTTTTACTGTCTGCAGCATCTGTAGTGATGTTCCATTTCATTCCTGGTATTGGTGATTTGTGTCTTCTCCCTTTTTTATTTGTTAGTCTTGCTAGATTTTTTTTTTTTAATTTTACTAACCTGTTCAAAGAACCAGCTCCTTGTGGCATTGATTTTCTTTATTTTTCTGTTTTCATTTCCATTGATTTCTAGTTTAATCCTTATTGTTTTCTTCCTTCTGCTTGCTTTGTTTATTTTGTCCTTCTTTTTCTAGGTTTTTGAACTCGGATTTCAGTTATTGATTTGAGATAGCTTCTTCTTTTATAGTGTATGCATTTAGTGCTATACATTTTTCTCTCATTGCTATTTTACCTGTATCCCACAAATTTTGATATATTTTCATTTTTTTTAGTTCAATATATTCTTACATTTCCTTTGAGACTCCTTTTTTGATCCATGAACTATCCAAGTATTTGCAGATTTTTCTTTTATTGACTTCTAGTTTGAGTCCATTGCAGTTGTGGAACACATTCTTTATGATTTCAGTTTTTAGAAATTTGTTTAAGTTTGTTATGATCCAGAATAGCATCTATTTTGGTGCATGTTCCATGGGCACATAAACGTTGATTAGATTCTGATGCTTGATAGTGTTATTAAGTTATTGCATATTCTTGTTGATTTTCTATTTAGTTGTTCTGTCAATTGTTGAGAAAGGGAAGTTGAAATCTCCAACTATAACTGTGGACATGTCTATTTTTTCTTTTAGTCCCATCAGTTTTTGCTTCATATATTTTGCAGACCCTCTTGTTTGTGCATACACTTAGAATCGCTTTGTCTTTTTGGTGGATTAATAATTTTATTGTTATAGAATATCATATCCCTCCCTGTCTCTGGTAACTTTTTTTGCTTGAAGTCTCCTTTGTCTGATATTAATATAACCACTATTGCTTCCCTTTTGTTAATGTTTACATGATATTTCTTTTTACATTTTTTAACTCTTAAGCTTTCTACATCATCATATTTGAAGTGAGTTTGTAGACAGAATATTTGGGTCATATTCTGAAGTCTATTTTGCCAATCTCTGTCTTTTAATTAGTGTATTTAGGCCACTTAAATTTAGTGAAATTATTGGTATGTTAGACCTTAGTCTGCCATTTTATTTTTTATTTTCTTTGGTTGTTGCTTGTTTCACTCCCCCTACCTTTTTGAGGTTAAACATTTTTCAGAATTCCATTTTGACATAACTAGAGTTTTTGATATATCTTTTTGTATGGCTTTTTGAGTATTTGCTCTAGATATTACATGTGTGTGTACGTAAAATATGTGTGTGTGTTCATTTTAAATTTGAAGTATAGAATCATTGCTTTGTCTCTTCACCCTCTCCCATTTTTAATTACCTTAAATCCTTTATATAAATTCAGAACTACATTAAACAATGTTATTATTTTTGTTTCCCCCACCAAACATGATGAAGAGGAGAAGAAAAGTGTATTATTTTTAGTCATACTTTTGCTTACTGTGTTCTCTCAGCCTTTTTGATATTTCTAGGTCTTTCTTTTGATTCCTTTCTATTCAGAAAACTTTCTTAAGCTATTCTTTTTGGGTAGGTTTTCTGATGATGAATTCTCTCAGTTTTCCTTCATCTGAGAATGTCTTAATTTCTTCTTTATTCCTGAAAGATGTTTGCATTGGGTTGGCAATTCTTTTCTTTTAGTGCTTGAAAAATATTATGCCACTTACTACTGGCCTCCATAGTTTCTAATGAGAAAGCCATTGTCATTTATTTTTTCATATAGATAATGCATCATTTCCCTCTTGCTGCTTTTAAGATGTTTTTGCCTTTAGTCTTCAGAAGTTTGACTATGATGTATCCCGGTATAAATTTCTTTGGGCTTATCCTAGTTGATATCCACTCAACTTCTTAAATTTATAATTTTGTCTTTTGCCAAATTTGGGAAGTTTTCAGCCACTATTTCTTTGAGAACTTTTTTCATCCTGCCCACTCTTATTCTTACTCTGAAACTCTGATGTCATGAATATTAAATCTGTTATTACAGTCTTACAGATCCCAGAGCCTTTTTTTTACAGTTTATTTTTTCTTTGTTGTTAAGAAGAGGTAATGTTTTTTTTTGTTTGTTTGTTTTTGTTTTTTTGGTGGAGTCTCACACTGTTGCCCGGGCTGGAGTGCAATGGCATGATCTCGGCTCACTGCAACATCCGCCTCCCGGATTCAAGTGATTCTCCTGCCTCAGCCTCCTGAGTAGCTGGGATTATAGGCACATGCCACCACGCCCAGCTAATTTTTTGTATTTTTAGTAGAGATGGGGGTTTCACTATATTGGCCAGGCTGGTCTCGAACTCCTGACCTCATGATCTGCCCACCTCTTCCTCCCAAAGTGCTGGGATTCAGGCATAAGGCACTGCGCCTGGCCTAAAATTGGGTAATTTTTATTGTCCTGTCTTTCTTTCACTGATTATTTCCTCTGTCCCTTTCATTCTGCTGTTGAGTCCATCCAATAAATTTTTTGTTATAGTTATTTTATTTTTTCAGTTCTAAAATTTCTATTTAGTTTTTCTTTATATTTTCTCTTTGTTGATACTTTCTGTTATTTGTTGTGACTGTGTTTTTCACTTAAATGTGTTTGTAATTGCTCATTAAATCATTTTTATAATGCCTGCTTTAAAACATCAGATAATTCTTCTTTTTTTGAGACAAGAGTCTCACTCTATTGCCCAGGCTGGAGTGCAATCGCATGATCTCGCATCACTGCAACCTCCACCTCCCGGGTTCAAGCGATTCTCCTGCTTCAGCCTCCTGAATAGCTGGGACTACAGGCATGTGCCATCATGCCTTGCTAATTTTTGTATTTTTAGTAGAGATGGAGTTTTGCCATGATGGCCAGGCTGGTCTCAAACTCCTGGTCTCAAGTGATCCACCTGCCTTGGCCTCCCAAATTGTTGAGATTACAGGCATGAACCATTGCACCTGGCCTAAAATGTCAATAATTCTAATATATCTGACATCTCTGTTTTGGCAGTCATTGATTGTCTTTCTTCATTCAGTTTGAGATCTTTCCGGTTTTTGGTGTGATGAGTGATCTTTGAAATCTGGACATTTTGGGTATTTTATTATGAGGGAACTGCCTTGTTACTTCCACGTGGAAACAGAGGTTCAGGTTCCCAATTCACCCTCCATAACACCTGACGGAGAGGCTTCTCATTACTTCTGGGTGGTGATGGGAGTTCAAGCTCCTCACTGGGTTTCCACTGATACCTTCGTGGCTTGGAGGGTAGGAATATCTTATCACTGTTTCCCACGTGGCCTTCACTGACACAACATTGTGGGAGAAGACTCACTACCATTGCTGGGTGCTAAAAATCCTGACTTTCTACCAGGTCTCCTCCAACACCATACCAGCAAGGATGGGGAAGGAAAAGGGGAGATTTACTTCCTACTGGGGATAAAAGTCCAGACTCCCTACTTGTTCTTCTCTGACACTACCCTGTTAGGGTAGGAAGATTGGGATACCTTGTGTTTTTATTTTTGAGAGACGGAGTCTTGCTCTGTCACCCAGGCTGGAGTGCGGTGACATGATCTCGGCTCACTGAAACCTCCGCCTCTCGGGTTCAAGTGATTCTCCTGCCTCAGCTTTCCAAGTAGCTGGGACTACAGGCATGTGCCACAACACCCAGCTAATTTTTGTATTTTTTTAGTAGAGATGGGGTTTCACTCTATGTTGGCCGGGCTGGCCTCGAACTCCTGACCTCAGGTGATCTGCCCACCTCAGCCTCCCAAAGTGCTGGGATAACAGGCATGAGCCACCACGCCCAGCCATGTCTAGGGATTTTAATTGTATATAATGGGGTGAATGGGGGAAAGCAAATCTACTCTATATTCTTCAAAGTAGAAGTACTCTATCATAGGTTTTTAAAAAATGATTTTGACCCCTGTGCCTTAGGAAGATGTGCTTTCATTTCTTGAATCAGTTTGACCAGTTGCTTCTAAATAGCTTTATTAATATGATAAAGTGAATCACCTATTGTAAAGCTGAAGGAGCCTTCTTTCCATAAGAGGTCTTTGGAAGTTAAAAGCCTTTCAAATTTCTTGTAATAAGAGATAGGTCTTACTTTATTCTACATCTAAGTTAGGGTCTCTCCAACATATGTCCACACTCATCTTCTCACCAGCCCTCTCATGTTCCTCTCCAGAGTCTATTCTCCAGCAGAAAGTCATTTCGGTAGAGTACACATTAGTTTAATTCAATTTTGATGATGCTGAGAGACATGGGTATATTTTGCTGTGGAATTTGTGTGTGTTTTAGATTCCAGTCTTGTCCCCTTCTCCACAGGTATCATTTTAAGAAAATCATAATCAGAAGGATAAATGATCCATGTCTTCCTTTAGAGCTGCATGTAAAGGCACTTTTATTTTTGCCCTTCTCCCAGAGATGAAAGGTATAATGAATACACTACAAATGACTGAATGAGCTACAAGTCAATTGCTCTGAACTCTGTATTAATCCCACTTTCAATACAGAATGGAAGATGTCCTATGGTTCATTTAGCTACCAAGTGGTATAAGCTGTTATTCTGTTATTCTCCAGAATTATAAAGGATTGCAAAACGTAATGTATAAAAGACAGGCAATAAAATGCTGGACTGCCAAGCAAAGAAGACATTTTTAGTAATTTAAAGGAAGCAATGTATAGAAGGAACTACAAACTTACTCTTCAGTTCAACATGCAATTGAGATATATGTTTCCACTCCTCTCACCAGAATATTACACTGAAATTTGGAAAGATGCATTTTGAAAAACTTTTGCAAAGATAAAACTCCTCTAATAGATTTGGACTAATACGAGCATTTCCAATTTCTGTTTTAGTCACTTCCATAAATTAGCTCATAAGTGGATCAGGCAGAGAAAGTGCTCAGGAAGTGGAGGTGGTAGACTTTGTGTTGGTCCACTTCCAGCCTCAAGACCCCCTGTGCTGTGATGGTAAAACTTGGAGGGGTTATGGCAATATATGCTTATAAAATTGTGTTTTCACTGAAAGCCTGATGCATTTCTGGATGATAATTCAGATTATTCACTAGAGAGTGACCCTCAGGGCGACAGTAAGTATACTGCAGAAATGTCTAGATTTCTAAGCTGTTTCCTTGAAGTTCTGAAGTTGCAGAAAGAGGGAAAATAGTGAGCTATCAAAGCAAACCTTAACATGATATGTCTACAAAGGGAAGGATGGTGAGGGAGGACAGTAAGAGCATCATGATTCAGGGAAGTGCAGTGGGTCAGGCAGCTACCACGAAGCAGTGTGGGCAAGTCGCCAGATGGGCAGCAAGCTGTGACCTAGTGACAGACAAAGGATTCCCTGCCAAAAAGAAGACTCAAAGATTGTCTCATTGGCTGTCTTACAGAATCTGAACTTAGGTCAGGCAACGTTCTTTGTGCCATTGACTTGTGACAGCTTTGTTTGGTTTAATATAAGTGTGCTAGTCAACAATTAAGAACAAGCCTTTGACCCAAACAAATCTATTTCAAAATTAAACCCTGTCACTACAAAGTTGGGCTTGTTTTCTTAATTCTACACAGCTATTTTCCCTCATCTTTCAAAAGAGAGATAAAGATGTCTCTCTTATAGGGTTGTTGCAATCATTTAAATGTGATAATGTATTGAAATGCTTGGCACACACTAAGACATCAGGAATAATAACTGATAATATCTGTCATCATCATTATCAGTTACTTATCTGAAATAAATTTTTCTATAGCTTGTTCCAATTGTGATAGTTATTCAAAAGCAAGCTTCAGACAAACTAACATAGTTTGATAATTTGTGGGGTAATACAGTATTTTATTAGGTACATGTGAATGGTGGCAGATTAGCTTTGTCTGCCCCTTGATAAATTCTTGTTTAAAAGTGGCCGAGCTCCTGGATACATGCTCCCTAGATGAGGGCCATGCCATGATTTGACGCCTGCTCAGAAATACTTCTGCTGCAGAGGTTTCCTGCCAAATCATCAAAGTTTTAGAAGACAGTATTTTCAGCCAACAAAGCACTTAAAAGAGGTGTTTCCAGTTTTGGAGGCAAGGCCAACTACAGGTGCAAAGTGGGTGATTAGCAAATGCAGCTGCTGAAAATGTTTTACCTATTAACCTTATACTTTTCCCTGGAAGTCAGAGGAGAAAGATGTTGGTTTAAATTATAATTGAAGTTTACCATCTAGATTTGGAGCATTGGACTGTGGTGGGAAAGATGGCCAGACCAAGGCTTTCGGCTCTCTCCATTCCACAGGCGAGGCTTGGGCTTTGCTCTGTAAACCATCTGGAAATGAGGTCCTCCCTTCCCGGGTCCGATTGCCCCAGGGCTTAGCTTCTGAACACAATCACGAGGCTCTGCCAGGACTTTGGTTAAGGCTCTTCCACTGCAGTTGCTGGCCTGGATGCCATTAACACAGATCCATTAGTCCCAGGAACCTGGCCTCTTTCAGCCCCTTGGGTCTTGTCTCCCTCCCTGCTTGTCCTAGGAAACTTTCCTCTCCTCCCCAGCGTGATCAGCAGTAAAAGCACTTAGGTTTCTTTCCCTGCATGATCTGCACTACGCCTTGGACAGAACTGCTTAGTAGTGCTTGGAGCACACACACTGTAAAGGAATTTGGGGATATGCTAATAAGGAAGCCCATAACCAAAAGCAAGAAGATTCACAATCAAATTGCAATAAATCTGCAGAGACTCCTTAAAGAACAAGACACACAGGAAAAGGCTGACTGCTGGAAAGACTGCTTTGCAAATGAATGGTACGGCTGCTGAATCTTCGAAAAGACAGCAGTACCCTCAGAAGTACTAACCCAGCCACATATTAGCCCAAATGACTGGCCGATGAATGATAGTGCCATGTGTACAATCTCTCTCAGAAGAGTTTCTGGAAGGATTTGGGCTTAAATGCTGATGTGGAAAGTAAATAAAATGTTCCAACTGGCTTTTCCCTCTACCTCCTCAACCAACTGCCCCTGCCTCATTTCCCAAATTTGTATTCTCTCCTGTTTGCTTTGCCTACCTCAACAGTCTTGAACAGAACAGAGTTGCTAAGTAACATGTAACTCCATCACATTTTCATCCTAAAAGACCAAATTAGTATATCAGTGAATGCCATTTCCGTAGGATCACAATAAGTATGATTCATAAGTTAAGATTTTGAGGTTAAAAAGGAACACAAGAAGCAAAATAATTTTGAATAAATTCATATGGATGGTTTAAAGGATTACCTATACTCTATTTGTTGGATTCATTGAAGCTTAGGAGGTACTATATTATATTAGATGAAATTTTAAAGTGGCATTTCTCCTCAGGAAAACTCACAGGTCCGAAAGTATATGCTGGAGCACTTTTCTCATTACTTTTAATGTAACAAAGTTTTATTTTCCTCATTTAGTCTTCAATCAGTGATCCAGAGGCATAGCAGAACAAGACAATACTGTATGTCATACCAGGTTAAATGCTGATCTTCTCAATGCCAGGTTTAGGCTTTATAAATGAAGAGCAAATAACTTTTTCTTCTTAGTTGCAGACAGAGTGTTGCTTAGCTGTTTGATTCTATGACAAGAAGAAATAGAAGTGTTCCAACTTAACAGTTGGTGCTTTTTTTTAAGACCCCTTTTTCTATTTACTTTAAGCCTAGTTCTTAAAACTCCAAGGGACCTTGGGATTCAATGGTAACAGAAAATCATGGGATCTAAAAGTGATGTGGGCAAGGACACATCATGCTTCTCAGAAGGCTATAACTTGCCCACTGTCCTGTGAGTGGGAGCTGAATTAATGGTTAAGGATTTGCAGATTTAGGCTCTGTATTCTTTCTGGATATAGATGGAAAACTAAGGAACAGAGATGGAGGATCCTATACAAGTAAGTTACAGAGGTAGACTAGCATAAATTCCTCAGTGACTCTTTGGCTCAGATTGAAAGAACTTTATTTTGAGAACTGAAGACAAACTGGGCTGGTTTATAGCCAAATTCCACTTTGGTTGGAGGTCACCTTAATTCCCCACTCGGCCTCACACCTGAATGTTCAACTACAGACAACAGTGCTGGTCACTCAGGCTGTTTCAGGCAGCACAAAACTTGGGCTTTTATCAAGAAAGAGTTTAGGCTCCAGGGTCAGATGAATTCCTAGCTCTGCCATTTACTGGCTGTGTGACTTTAGGCAAACTGCTAAACTTCTCTCTAATACATTTTACTTTTTTATTTTTTATTTTTGAGACAAAGTCTCGCTCTGTTGCCCAGGCTGGAATGCAGTGGCGCAATCTTGGCTCACTGCAACCTCCGCTTCCGGGGTTCAAGCAATTCTCCTGCCTCAGCCTCCCCAGTAGCTGGGACTACAGGTGCCCGCTACCACGCCCGGCTAATTTTTTTTGTATCTTTAGTAGAGATGGGGTTTCACCGTGTTAGCCAGGATGTACATTATACTTTTTACCTCTCATGAGGATTATGAGTTTGGTATATGTAAAGTAAATAGGAGAGTTTGGGTCCCTATTAAGAGCTCAGAAAATATTAACTCCTATCCTTTCGTTTGATGATCTGACTTTCAAAAGGCCTGTTCAATCACAGCTGCAAGGGGACTTAGAATCATCCAGCGCAATATCCTTATTTTACATGAGAACACTGCAGAGAAAGGAAGTGGCTTCCGACTTAATTTGTGACAGACACAGGTCCCCAAATTGCTAGTTCAGGGTTTTCCTGTTTTATTTTGTTTGTGTTTTCTTATACTAGTCTCCCTCTAAATCAGCCTTTGCCCTTCTGAATAGATCACTTCTCACCTCCACTCCTACCACTGCGTTCAAGGGTTAAGCCACCATTATTGCTCTCACTGCAATAACCGACTAACTCATTTCCCTACTTCTATTCTTGCCTTCTTCAATCTATTTCCAACTTAACAGCTTAGAGTGCTTCTTTGCAAAGCATTATGTCCTCTCTCACTTCATCTCTTACTACTCTCATTCATTCAGCTTGTTACCCTACCCTGCTTGCTGTTCCTTGTGCATGTTGGCACACTCCAATCTCAGGTTTGGTGTTTTTTTTGTTTTTTTTTTGAGACAGAGTTTCACTGTTGTTACCCAAGCAGGAGTGCAATGGCGCGATCTTGGCTCACTGCAACCTCTGCCTCCTGGGTTCAAGCGATTCTTCTGCCTCAGCCTCTTGAGTAGCTGGGATTACAGGTGCGTGCCACCATGCCCAGCTAATTTTTTTGTATTTTTAGTAGAAACGGGGTTTCACCATGTTAGCCAGGCTGGTCTCAAACTCCTGACCTCAGGTGATCTGCCCACCTCGGCCTCCCAAAGTGTTGGTATTACAGACGTGAGCCACCGTGCCCAGCCCAGTCTCAGGTTTTACATGTGCTATTTTCTTTACTTGGGATGCTTTTCACCAGATATTTGCATGATATGCTCCCTCCTCTGGCACTTTCCATTTTCCTATTGCGCTTTCTCCCCCATGGGGCATTCACTACTTTATAACATATCCTGTATTTCTTTAGGTAGTGTTTGCCTACTTCAGTAGAGTGCAGACATTATGAGGGCACTGCTTGTTCATGGCTGTTTCTCCAGTGTCTAGAATGATGACTGACACAGAGGAGGTATCCAGTAAATGTGTGATGAGTGCATAAATGAGCAATGTGTCAACAGGATTTGTGGGATGTTCAAAAGAGTATGTTTCCTCAGGTGTTTTAGTCATATAATAAAACTAAGCAAATGTTCTATCCTTAATTAAATATGCTGTGGCAGCGGACTTTCCAACACATAAAAATTTACCTTTTTTTAAAAAAAAATCATAACCTGGTCATTTTGTATTTGCATAGCTAAACCTACAGACATCTATCTTTCTTGAGTTAATTGTTAGGAAATACTCTGCAAAGCCAAACCAAAACCACAACCACTTTCTGAAAACTCTGTAAAGAATATATTTCCATTCTGGTGAATCAAGAGAAAATACATTTGTTTCATTCTGTCTCTTTCTGGGCTCTGAGAGAAACTTCAAAGAAAACAAAATGTAGACAGGAGGTCAGCTTTCATGAATCAGATTTCATCTTGATCGGCTTTTTATAGACCTATAGCAAAGTAGAGCCCTGAAAATTGTGTTAGGTAATGGGGATTCTGACAGACCCTTTAACTATGTGGAACTAGGAGGTTCTGCTATAATTCTGCTGCTTCAGATGAAAATTTCAAGTGTTTTCATTAGTTACAACAGCTGTTTCTATTACAGATAACAGATCTCAGAGGTGGTGATGCTGATATCAACTTCTACTGGGCTCAGAACACAGTGTAGCTTGTACAATTAGGTTTTTTTTTTTAATTATTTTTTTTTCTGCACACGCAAATTAACTCTGTAGCAGTAAAAGGAAATTACTTACTTGCTACCGGAATTGTCTGAAAGTGATACAATCATCTTTTGTAGAGTCACATTAACCAAATTAAAAGCCCTTGGGAAAAATTTGGCACCCTGTTCCTTCCCATTCACATCTTCCTCAAGACCTCTCATTTAGAAAGTGATGATCATTATCAGGACTTTTAATTTGGAAAGATTGGCTGCTCACCAGTGAGCCTTTCTAGATACCCAGTGGTTGGGTAGAGTGGCTGTACTGTGTTTCAGCCTTGGAGGCCTTGACTTTACTATCCTCCTGCTTGCTTGAATGTATGATTTCTAGCCTGGGACACACAACCACAGTCCTGCTACTCTACATTGTTACCAAGATGGTGCCATCATTTTATTCTCTCATTGAATACAAATATTAATCCTTCATTGAGAGGAGGTGGATTGATTCTTCCAACTCTTGGAACCTAAGCTGGCCTGTGACTGCTTTGATGAGTGGAATG
Organism: Homo sapiens; assembly: GCF_000001405.40. Classification (NCBI taxonomy): domain Eukaryota; kingdom Metazoa; phylum Chordata; class Mammalia; order Primates; family Hominidae; genus Homo; species Homo sapiens. The sequence goes on from NC_000003.12 coordinate 172,909,372, forward strand.
TGGTGGGATTTGCTGTGCAAGTTCTAGGCTTACCCTTTAAGAGGATTGATGGTTTCTACTTCCTTTCTCTTAAAATACTCCCCTTCTTGACACCCAGTTCATAGGAGCACATTCTGTGATGGATTTGCCACTATTTTGCCACGCTGTTTAAAGCCCAATTCACATAGAGAGGCCACGGTTAGGTACTCCAGTCAACTACCTCAGTGATTAGTGTCAACTGTAAGCCACGTGAGTGAACCATCTTGGATTTCAGTCCATTTTAGCCTTCAGATGACTCCAGCCCCATGCATGGAAGCCATTTGACTAAACTGCATGAGATGCATTGAGTAAGAGCCACCTACAGGAGTTTGGTCAACTCAAAGAACTAACTGTGAGATAATTTTGAATTGTTGTTTTAAACTGCTACATTTGGAGTGGTTTGGTTTGTAACGCAGCAATAGATAACAACTGTAATGTCGCAAAATAGTGGCAAATCCATCATAGGATGTGCTCCTATGAACATGGGTATCAAAGATCTTTTAAGTGAGATGAAATTAGTTGTTGTTTACATGATATAGACAGATATCATGTCAATCCTTATTGTATCTTTTTAGCTGGTCCCTAGAAGTTAATAATTGGATTATTGTTCTGTTACCGTTTGGATTTGTAAATACAAATATTTACTGTACAAATGCAATTTTTTTGGGAGAGGTAATGCTCTACACCAGAGTACAGCAAATGCTTTTTTTTTTTTTTTTTTTGAGACAGAGTCTCACTCTGTCGCCCAGGCTGGAGTGCAGTGGTGCGATCTTGGCTCACTGCAACCTCTGCCTCCTGGGTTCAAGCTATTCTGCTGCCTCAGCCTCCTGAGTAGCTGGGATTACAGGCATGTGCCAACACACCTGGCTAATTTTTGTATTTTTAGTAGAGATGGGGTTTCACCATGTTGGCCAGGCTGGTCTTAAACTCCTGACCTCGTGATCCGCCCGCCTTGGCCTTCCAAAGTGCTGGGGTTACAGGCGTGAGCCACTGCGCCCGGCCAGCAAATGTTTTCTGATGGTGCTAGATAGTAAATATTTTAGGCTTTGTGAGCTATTATGGTTCTTGTGGCTACTACTTAACTCAGTCAAGTTGACTTAGATAATATGTAAATAAATGGCATGGCTGTGTGAAATCAACTTTATTGACAAAAATAGATAACATACTAGATTTGACCTGCAGACTGTAGTTTGTTGACCCTTGTTCTAAACAACTATTTCTATAGCCAACAGAGATATGTGATTATATTGCTTGAGTCTCATGAGGACCACGTTTGGCTGCTCTATCTCTAATTCCTCTTGCCAGTCCTTCTTAGTCTCTGTCATGGGCTTCTCCGCCTAAGTTTGAAATGTGCTCCTCAAGGCCCTCTTCTCTCCTTACTCTATTATACTCTTTCTAAGCCATGATTTCAGCTAATGACAATTTGCCAATGACTAAGAAATATCTATCTTTATTCAGTCTTTTATCCGGAACCCCAGGCTTTTGTATTTCCTGTTGGATGTCTTGCCAGCACCCTATGTGAACATAGGTGCACTTTCGTGCCAGTTGTTAACCTATAGCCTTGCAACTCCAAATCCGCTCTTTTATACTCAGCTCTGTGATAAATATGGCTGGGACTCTGCAATTCCATTTCTTTTTTGCCAACTGTTAGATTCTGTCATCAGAGGGCATTAGAAGGAGAAAGAAGGGACTTGCTTCTTCTTTGCTTCTTGTTTACTTCTGTCTGCTTTAGGGTTCCTGGGAGTATCTCTTCAACAAACCTTCAATCAGAAACATACTTTCTTTTCTGTAGTAGCAGCCAAATTTAGTTTTTCCAAAAGTTGCAAACTACATCCATTACTACCCGCCTCCCCATCACTTCCCATAGCACCGGTGGGTCAGTGGCCCCTTCTTGGAGGTTTGGGTCCCAGCCCTTCAGGACTCTAACCTCAGGGACACCAGTACCAGCTGAGCAGCACCTTCTAGTGGGGAGTCTGAGTTTTGGCTTAGTAGGGTCCCTGCTCCAAGTTTCTAAGTTTTGGCCATTCCAACTTCTCTTTGATTCCCCAGCCCGAAGACATGGTGGTTGCTTTCTTTAATGGTTTTCTTTGTGACAACTTACTGTTCTCCTTTGCTTCTTCAGTTACCTAATTAACAACTTCATAAGTTACTTAACCATTCTTTATATTAAATTTCCATTCATATATCTGGCATGGTTTCTTTCTCCCAACTGAATTCTAAAGGCATTTATATTCTTGGCCAAAAGCTGCTCCTATGAGAGTGTCTTCTTCTTTAGTAAGTGGCACCAGCAAACCTTTCCCTATTCCCTGCTCAATTGCTCAAGCAAGTATCTAGGCATCATTCTTAACCTTTTCTTTTCTCTCAACTCCCAGATCCCATCAGTTGAACAAGGCCTATAGATGTGGCTTCCTGAATATTTCTTAGGTCCGTCTGCTTTCTCTTCTTCTCTGTGCCCACAACCCTAAACCAAGACACCAGCATATCTCACCTGGATGATGATCCCTACTTTATAACTGACTTCCCCACATTTCTGTAGCCCCTCAATCTCTTCTCCCCACCACAGCCCTAAAGATGTCTTAAAAACATTTTCTAGTTAAATATACTCTAAAACATTCCAAACCTAATTTATAAGTCCTTCTGTAATTTCTCCTGCCTCTGCACTTCATTTTGAAATATCTTCTGTACGTTCTGGTTAGTTTTTGAATGTGCCATGCTTTTTTAAAAAACACTTCAGTACGAAGTGGTCCCTCTGTTTAGAAATATCCCCTTTTACCTGGAAAACCACTACACATTCTTTAAATGCTGTATAAATATCATTTTCTTAGAGGCAGTGTTTCTGACCTCCCAGACAAGGCTATTCTGCCATTTGTTTCCATAGATCATTGAACATCCCCTTTATTTTGCAATATTCAGTTAGCCCATAAGTAGCTTTGTAGATCATAAGGACCATACAGGCAAGAGCTGTGCCTGTCTTGCTGAGCACAATATTTCCAATATCTAACTATTTTTTCTGGCATGGTAGATATGTATTCAACACATATTTGCTGACAGTCAGTTTCTGGGTTTTTTTGTACATACAGTGGACTCTTGAGCAACATGGGTTTGAAATGTGTAGGTCCATTTATAGGCATATTTTCTTCTGCTTTTGCCACCACTGAGACAGCAAGACCAATCACCTCCTCAGCCAATTCGACATGAAGACAACAAGGGTGAAGACCTTCACTTCCACTGAATGAATAGTAAATATATTTTCTCTTCATTATGATTGTCTTAATAACATTTTCTTTTTTCTAGCTTACATTATTGTAAGAATACAGTATATAATACATATATACAATACGTGTGAATCAACGCTTTATGTTACCATAAGGCTTTCAGTCAATAGTAGGCTATTGGTAGTTAAGTTTTTAGGGAGCCAAAAGCTAATTGTAGATTTTTGACTGTGCTCCTAACCACCACGTTGTTCAAGGGTCAACTGTATATCACAGGGCCTCTGAGTTCATTACAAAAGACACGTGTTTCCTCAGGTGCTCCAGAATCCCTTAGGGTTGGCTTTTAAACTGAAGGTTCTTTTGTTTGTTTCACATCTCCTGATGCCAGTCTCCCCTGGTGGGTTCTTACAGTGATGGGAGGAAGATGAATGGGGAGTTGATTGATCAGAACTTAATACTTTGAGTTTGACTGGAGAACCAAGATTACTAACTTTCACATTTTCAGAGGGTCCTGTTGTGTCACACAAGTCTCCTGAGTACTTGGGTCCAGGTGCATCTCGGCACTTCCTGCATTTAAACCCCAGTAGCCAATGATGGGATGTTCCTCTATTTCTAACAATTAGTATGTTAGTTCTTTACTAAAAACATCAATGTGCTAGTTTCTTTGTAGTTCCCTGAAATGTAGTCATTATTCCTCAAGTGAAAAAAGTGGAAATATAGTTGAGGAGTGGACTAAAACACTGATGAAAGGGCTTTAAAGAATTATAAAACCGAGAACGAAGGCGCAGATAATGAAAATAGAATATGAAAATGAGCATGATAATGAAGAAAAATCACGAAAGCATATGAACACAGCCTGTTGGAAAAGAAGCAGATTAAATAAATCCATATTTGATTTTGGTCACACTTCCAGGGAGAGAGCTGCATTTAATTAAAAAAGGAAAACAAAAAAACAAACCAAAGAACTTGGGTTTCTTTTTATCCTCCAAACAGATTTGACCCAAAATGGACATTTTCTTTGAGAATAATAGATCTTTTTCCTTCAGCTCAAAGTTTTACCTTTTGGATCATATTCCACACACGTTCATTATTGTTTCTTCTTCCTTCAAGGGTGTCCATAGCATCTGCCATTAGTGACTGCAGCTGTGGCACCAAGATAAAAATTATCAGTGTGGAATTCACACAGAAATAACTTCTCTAAATACACAGATTAAAACCTAATTAAAAAATCATTTGTACGCTGATGATTTTATTACTCATCTTTCCTACAATGAATATTGCCACCTCATCTTTGCTTGTCATTGCCGAATATTATTGCAGATATAAAATACTGAAACAATGAAAAGATTCTTCTCGAAAATTTGTAAAAAACATATAGGTTTTAATGTAGTAAGTGTTGATGTTTTGTGAAAAACAGATTGGGGTTGTAAAGAATGAAGGCAGTAGTTAATTCTCTCAGGAAATGGCATGTAGTACATGAAGGCATTTTAGCGTTTTCTCCTGAGGCTAATGTATCATAATTCTAGGCATCAAGCAAAAGCTCACCAGAGGACAATACTACAATTATGCTGTTTTATTGCCTCTTAAAGAATCTAGCTCATTTAACTTCTTTTACTGTTTTTTTCTTTGTTAAAATTTTAAAATAGCCAAGTTTTTTTTATTTTTAGGTCCCATTCGAAGGCAAGTTTTAAACATTCTAACCTTTGCCCCAAACAGGCACCTGCTGTACTCTAATGTGAAAGTATCCTGTACACATGGTGTGTATTTGACCACGAAAGTGAAATGAAGTTACATCAAGCCATGTGCTATTCAAAGGTTAAAAAAAGTTCTTAAAAAATACCAGTTCAGTTCACTATGACATCAAACAGTAATGGACCTTAGATAATCTTTCTTTGGTTTAGATATTGCAGCGTGAAAGCAGGAGGAGAGATAATTGAGTCACTCAAAATCTTCTATTAAGCAATCACTGTTTAGATAGCAGCATACAGGGTATTACTAGGATTAATTCTCTAGGTTAACCCACACTTGTAAGTTGCAAAGTAAAATCTATTATTGAAGGTCATCAAACCTTATAAGATATATAATGTTTAAATGCTTGGCATACAGATATACATCCACATATATTTAAATATTTTTCTGCTGGGTATATAAGTACAAAAATATCCAATGAAATTTCATTTTATAGGGTTTCAAATAGAGAAAAATTACACTTTAGAAAGGAATGTCAATAATGCTAGTTTGAGGCTCTTTGTATATATTTTGAAAAATAAGTATTTCCAGTAAAAAAAAAAATATAGATGTGTGATTAAGAAGACTTAAGTGCAGAGAATTCCCCTGTATTTTTCATTTAAATCTTGAATGTGCTTTTCAGGAAGACAGGATCAACATTTTGCCGGCTTCTTAAATTAACATTTTCTTTGCTTCCTCTTATCTCAGAGGAGCATTAATCATCTAAAATAGGCTACAATATGCACTTTGAAAGCTCCATACTTACTATACTTCTGAGTGCCTTATGAATGGCAGGATAAACATTTAACCTTTTAGAAGGTGTTCTTTTGCACACAACCATAAAGTTTAGAAAGTATTATTGCCAGTTTTGACTTGGTAATTCCTTGATTCATAGACTTATTTCATAGTTTTCATCTTTAGTATGCATAGTTTTATTATTTGGCTAGTCATACAACTTCCTGTGCTTACTCTGAATATCAGTATTTATTTAACATGCTTTTAGCAGGTTTAGATGAACATTATAAATGTTGGCAGCTCATTTCTTGAGTAAATCTTAAAAAGCTCAAAGGGGGAGGGTTTCTTTAGTCATCTGAAAATTACAGGTAATCAGTTTGGGCTGTTCTCATCATTACTATGTGAATTCAATTCAGGGCTATAATTAGTTTTAGCTGCTCTCAATTAAAGCTTCTAAGTAAAGGGCCTTTCCCTACAACACACTAGGAGCTTCATATAGAGTAAATTTTACCTTTCCTTGAACAGGCAGCACACTGTTTAGTAAACTGTTTTTCAAATGAGGTGCTATCATTTCTAATATTAATTATGGTTATAATATGCACATCTGTCTGAAGATTATTTCTGTGAGAATCCCTTCAACTAGTTTTTGCCTGGGTCTGTGTGTGGCTAAAGTGTCTGGTTTTCTGAATAAACTCATCAGTTCAGCTAAAAAAACCCCATCTATTTTGACTAGCTATGTTTTCCCTTCAAATAAACAGCTTTTGTTGATTTATCTAAGTGTACTAGTGTTGGCACTGCCAATATCTATTTTAACCCTAGAAGTGATTAAGAAAACTCTAAAGATGATTTTCTAGGGTCATTTTTCTATACAGCAATTACTCTTTTGTCCTCTCACTTTTTCATAAAAGAGAATCATATATCAATATATCTTGGAGTTTATTAAACAATCTCATTTTACCAAAAACCAGAAGCCTGACACATGATATAAATAACCAGCCTCTTTCTATGTTTTTACACATCACAACGTTTTTGCTGTAATAATGGAAGCTAGTTAATGTGAGCAAATAAAAACCAGACACACACCTTCCTACATTTTTCAGTTTTGCCATTAGAATGCTTCAAGAAGGTTTGGGAGTTTGCCCTCAGGCTACATTTATTACCACAGGATTTTTTTTTTTTTTTTTCCCCAGACCATATCACTTTTCTGTTGGCTCTGGGCCTATGAAACCCTTAAACAAAGAAAAATACTTACCAATTCTGCCTCCTGTTGACTGATGTCCTGTAGGTAGGGAATGGTTGCTAGCTCTGCCATTGCTTGATTAATCACCTGGGACTGCTCCTTTACTCTCTGCAGCTGGCTGAGGAGGCTGGCATATTGCAACTTCTCCATCACACCTGAGGATGCAGGAAAACTCCCCTAGTCTCAAAGTAAAAGAAATGTTTTAGAACAAAACCACGGAAATAGACCTCTCCCCAGGGCTGGAAGTCAGGGCTTGTGATAACGTATTTACATCTTTTGAAATAACGGAATCTAGTACAAATACATGTTTCCTTCTACCATTTTACAGAATTGTCTTATACCTCTTTTTCTAGTAGGTAAATATACATAAAAGGGAGTCCTTTGGAGAACTGTTGAGACGGATTTGCTGATTGTCTTGCATTAGGGAGCTAGGCTGAGGGGAAAAGAGGGGACTAAATTTGAATCTGCACTTCACTCACCCAGGAGTGATCCCACAGAGCTGTGTCTGCCTAGAAGGGGCGACTTTATCTATATCACCAAAGCATCATAAAAGGTAAGAGTTGCCTACTATCTTGTTTATCTGAAAGAAAATTTTTTAATGCAAGTTGAATCTTGACAAACGTTGTATAAGTTGAATTCTGTTTACCCCAATAGCTTACATGAAACCTCTAAGCTCTGCTTTTATTTCCAGTTCTTATTGGATAGCCTTGCACAGTCTCCTTTTCTTTTTGACTAGCTTCCCTCTGTCTACTGGGACCATTTCAACAACTAACATGTTCCATCTGGACACAGACTACTGTGTGCCTTTGTAAGGACTGCCAACTCCCATGGCATTTTGGGCTTTGTTAAGATGGGGCGCATTTAGAAAAAAGTGGCCCACCAAGGTGCCTGTTACTGCCATCCACAAAAGAGGAGACATTATCTTCTATAAAAATGTTTAATACAAATTGTAATGCTTGATAGGAGAGGCAACGTTAGTCATGAAATTCTTAAGTTTATCTTTAAGAAAAAGTACTTTTGATTTGGGGGTATATAAGGGTTAACATAAAAGCCTTGAGTTTCTGCTGCATTTAGAGGGTGATGAGAAATGGGAATTCAAAAGAGGACTTAGTTTGGCAATTGCATTTTACATCCTGGTGCTCAGAAGAGAAGTGACCAAGTGCCCCTTTAGAGCAGGGGCCCCCTGGACTGCCTACACCAGAATCACTATGCTCGCTTGTGGACTTGGCAGTTAGCAAACTGAATATTGGGCTTCACCCAATCACAATCTCTTGTTATGTGGCCCTAGAAATACAAATTTCAGCTAGGTGCCTCCCCAAATATTCAAATATCTCAAACAGAAGTTTGAGACAAACCACCACCTTAAAGCTTAGTATCTGAGTAAAGACTATTTTGGTTTGCGCATACTTATGAAACAGAATTTCTTCTAGAAATTAGAGAAGGCAGACATATAATTTCACTTTCTTAAGAGAATCTCCTCTAAGGAGAAAAACTGCTAGAAACTAATATTACTGAACTTCAACTTAAAATTAGAATGCACTTCTTTTTGAAAGGCCACACTCGTATTCTGACTGACAGCAACCTCTGGAAGCTGACATTTTCTCTAGAATCTTGGAAATAAAGAAAGGCTGGCACCATCGTGCTGTATCTGCTTTATTTGTCCCTAACACCTACATATGCTGTTCAGTGAATGTCTTCTTACTCACACTAATTTGTTCTTTCTGATTAATCATTTATCTGAAAATCTATAAATCTATAAGATTGATGATTGCAAATGGTAGATATGGGGTTCCTTCCTGAATTGATGAAAAACCTAGCCTACCCATCAGTTTAAACATGTAGCTAAACAATGGCATTCTGTCAAATAGAGGAAAGCAAGTTGGAGGAGAAACGGTTTTCATTCTGAAGAAAAATTGCTTTCTTTGTCCTTCTTTAAAATAAACAATGGGGCTAGTTGTAGGAAAGTGGTGTAGTGACTCAACCCTAAAGAGCAGAAACAACTGCAGGCTGCTCAGGAACATAATCTGTCAGTGTAATTTTCCAAAACGTCAGGAAAATAAACATAGTGGAAGGCAACAGTTTTAGCCTGATTGTTGGATGCATAACAAAACAGGAAGTGCTCTATTTGAATAAGATAACAGGGAAAGAATACAGTTGACTGCTAATAGTCACCCCTCCTCCCCCCGAAGCCAAATGCAGTTTTGGTTATCAGGAAACTGTAGATTAATATTTTACCTATCCAAGATAGGGGTTTTTGAAAGACAAAGTGAAAAAGAAATAAAATTGATATCTAGTGTGGCAGAAATGTTTTAATGCTGTTGCTTTAAGGAAATAAAGAAAATAATAAAAAATAGGAATTAGCTTAAATATCTAATGCTAACAAAGACTAAATCTAAAGGCAGGTAGCCCTCCCAGTGAGACTTCAGGAATGATCAAAGGGCTCCTTAGCTGCTGGAGAGAGTGTAATAAAGTGGCCACGACTGAAGCTAAAACCTCACACAGGTACAATGAGGGCTAGGTGATAGCAAGTTCAAGTGAAGGTTTCAGTCAGAGAACTGTCAAGATTTAATAGCAGTTACAAATAAATATTTGGCAAATAAGTGGCACTATATTATACTGCTGAAAAGCGGAGTCCAAGTCTTTGGAATGTATTTCCATTTGGCATAAGATACAGAAACATTCATTGCAAAAAAGGGGTAGGAAACACTTATTATTGTTCATTTCAAATGTGCATATGTAAACATTTTTTATGCTTCACTTGGAAGAAATTAAAAGTAAAATTAATGAAGTATTAAAAACATGGTTAGTTAGGTCATTTTTTGGCAAGTCATCCTGTGAAGGCGGCTTCATGCATGGCAAGAGATTTGATTATTTTAACTCTTTAACATTTAGCCCAGAAAGCACAGTACATAAGGTTTGAAACTGACAGCAGCCAATAAAGTTAATGAATGGAAAAGTATAGTGCCATCCAGTAGCATGTGAAATAATTAGGACAGAAATCCAGAAAATGAAAAATACCATAGCAGCAGGGCTGCTGGCTGAATGGGGTTGAGGTTCAGTAGGATTAGAAGTCACCAGCAAGGTTGTATCATATTGTAGATTATAACTCTTAAAATGCTAGAATCATCCTTGTTTGGCCATGTATTGTGTACCTAGTAGACTAATCTACAAAGATAAGGAAACCAGGGTCAGAAGTGTAAAGAGAATCATTGTCTGACACATAGAAACCTCTCTGAGACCAGGAAACGTATTTACCGACTGTATTCACCACCTCATAGCAAGAGTTGAAAATTCATGTTCTTTAGCAAGCTTTTTACAGTTAATTTTTGGAGTGTAATTTGTACATTATATGTTCATTTTAATTTTTTTTAATTCTTTATTTTTTTTTTTTGAGGCAGAGTCTTGCTCTGTTGCACAGGCTGGAGTGCAGTGGTGTGATCTCGGCCCACTGCAGACTCTGCCTCCCAGGTTCAAGCAATTCTCTTGCTTCAGCCTCCTGAATAGCTGGGACTACAGGCATGCGCCACCACATCTGACTATTTTTTTGTGTGTTTGTGTGTGTGTTTTTAATAGAGACAGAGTCTCACCATGTTGGTCAGGCTGGTCTCAAACTCCTGGCCTCAAGTGATCCACCCACCTCGGCCTCCCAAAGTGCTGGGATTACAGGCGTGAACCACTGCGCCCAGCCTATATGTTCATTTTTTAAAAATTGAATCCAGCTATGGAATCATTCCTATGTTGTGTGTTATGCATGTTTTGCCTCTGGCAAGGATCATAACTTTAAATCAAAGAGATGTAATATGATTTAGTAAAAGAATATTGGCACAATATTCTGAAGCTCTGATTTTGAGCCCTAGCTGTGTGAACTTGAATATATCACTACTCTGAGCCACAGTTTCCTCATTGGTAAAATGAAGGTGACACAATGTCACCAAATTGTGAGGGTCAAATTAGAGAATGTGAGGGAAAAATGCTTTTTAAATTGCAGAGCACTATGCATGTGCTTCTCCTAAACCATAGTTCCAAAGTAGAAATTTCTGCATGCAGTCAGCACCTAGTTAATGACCAGGACTGCTCTGTACTTTAAAAAAGATATGTTTGAGTAAAGAAAACTTCTTGACTATCAAATATTTCAAGGGTTTGGAAGCAAGAGTGTTTTGTTAGCTTTAGAAGAAAATTTTACTCACTTTATATTTAAAATGCTTTGGTTGAGAGTAAGTTGCTATACTATCTCTTTATATGTAATTTGTGGAGAACAAACATATGTATCTTTTAGTTTAATGGAGAAAAATTGAAAATTAGGGCAGCCAAAAAATATTCCCTATGATATTATAATTTAGTGTATTATTGCCAAGTTAACTTTTTTCTAATTAGATATTAGGTAGGTATTATAAACCTAATATTTACAAAGTGACTAAATATTCAATATGTTTAGGGAACAGATCATGAGAATTCTTGGCATTGTTTAAGTATTGTTTAGAAATCTACATATTTATCATTATTTATGTGACAGTATAAATGTGATAATAAAACATTGTGTAACTGATTCTGGTCATGGTATTATGTCAAGGACTAGTATCATCTTTTGGGTCTCCTGCTGTTATGAATGCTGAAGTTTTAATGCATTGCATTTTCATATTCCAAGCCCATTTTCATTAAATAACTTTGTCCAAATGAATTAAACATCTCTGAACATATATGGTATGAGGCAAAGTATATTTCCTAGCCATTAGTTCCACTTTTTTTGTTTTTGTCTTTTTTTTTTTTTTTCCATTTTGGGTAGAATGGAGTCTCACTACGTTGTCCAGGCAGGTCTTGAATTTCTGGGCTCAAGCTGTCCTTCCACTTCTGCCTCCCTAAGTGCTGGGATTACAGGCAATTTTTTCCTAGCCATTAGGCCTTGATGAAAATGTGACATTCTACTAGGGTAAAGAGTTGTCTGTTTGAAACAGACAACAGAAATGTAAACTAAAGCCTTAGCCACTAGTATTAAGGATGACTGAAAAATCTAAAATTCTTTAAGATAAATGTGTTGCACAAGACACTGGTCACTCACTGTCTTCTAATGGAAGTGTCTTTGATATTGGCTCTGTTCTACCAAGACATGTGAGGCTGCTTGTCACACGAGCATGGTCACAGCCTGCTGTCAACAAGACTGCAGTCCTGAGTCCAGTTCATGGCTGGAAATGGCATCTCAAATCCTGCCTGAGTGAAGGGATCTGAGCAAATCACTGATCAAAGGAAAGTAAGCTAAGGAAAAAAAAAATCAAAATTCACAGAACACGAGTGGAATCTTCATATTAGAAGAAAAATAGGTAATTTCAAACTACACAGCTTGGATAAAGAAAAAAAGAAGGTCTGTAAAACAGTCTCTTTGTCAAAGCAAACCAAAACCAATACAAATAATTAAAACTAAAATTCTTAATACTTTACAAAGTGCTTCAAGAACATGGATTATGTATTTATGGTTCACAACAACTCTGTGAAGTGGGCCTGGCAGTTATCAGCCTATTTTATAAATGAGAAAAAAATAGTTCAGAGGTTAAGTGACTTGCCCTAGGGTTACTTGGCCAGAGCATGGCCTTGGGCAAAAGTCTTTGTCTACACGTATCACAAATTAGGGTAACAAATAATGACAATTCAATGCCTAAATATTCAAGTGAATGTCATTTGGTATCTGACAAGAAAGAAAGAACACCTTGAAGGGTCTTAAAAACACTACAGAGGGCTCCTTGGGTTACAGTCAATGGTACCGTGTAGGAATAATTTCTAGTCACCAATTCATTATTTGCTTCATTAAGCTAGTTTACCTTTGCAGCCAATTTTATCAGTCCTCCCTTATGAAGCTGTGGCTGAGCAAATAATAAGAAACCTAGTACCTGATATTTAGATATATTTGTGATCCCTGGGCACTTTCAGGCTTACCTACTTCAATTTCATTAAAACTCTTTGAAACAATCTTCCAAAAACTGTTATTTCCCTTAAAAGCAAACATAGGAAAGTTGATGAAATTCCTTGCAGACAGCAAAGTGGTACTGAGACTCAATATGAGAAGACTGAGTTATTAATTAGATGTTAAGAATCTCATTAATTATGGTTTTAAAGTCTCCTTTATAGTCACATAAAAGATTCATGTCTAAACAAATTTCCAAATGGCCAGAATACTCTTTAAAAGGTGATAAGAAAATGAGTTAAGAACACTGAAAAAGTGCATAATGCCCAGTAAGGCCCAACCTATGTTCACATTGTGAAATCGGAGCTGGCAACAGATGATGTGGTCAGTTTCCTGACAAGTGACAAGGTAAGGCAGGCATTGCTTCAAAGAGCCAGGCCTGGCCAGGCATGGTAGCTTATGCCTGTAATCTCAGCACTTTGTGAGGCCAAGGCAGGTGGATCACTTGAGGCCAGGAGTTCAAGACCAGCCGGGCCAACATGGCAAAACCCTGTCTCTACTAAAAATACAAAAAAATTAGCTAGGCATGGTGGCACATGCTGTAATCCCGGCTACTCTGGAGGCTGAGGCAGGAGAATCATTTGAACCCTGGAGGTGGAGGTTGCAATGAGCCAAGACCGCACCACTGCACTCCAACCCGGGTGACAGGGTGAGACTCTGCCTCAAAAAACAAAAAACAAAAAACAAACAAAAAACCCCAAAACCCAAAAAACTAAAAACTAAAAAACAAAGAGCTAGGCCACAGGCAGATCACATCCACAGCACCCGATACACTGGCTCTGCTAGGCTAGCCATGCACGGATGAGATGAAATAATGCTACACGGTGATGGTTCTGGTTAGCAAAGCTTTCCCTGCTTGCATGGGCCTGATGATGAGGGTAATGATGTGTGTGGGTCTTTAGGTTGGTGTTTTGTTATGGCAGCCTGAGCTGACTAAGGTAGAGATGGATTTCTTATTAATAGAAATATAGAGGAGATAATTGAAACATGGTTGTGGGGAAGGGGTAGCTTTGTGGTAGGAACATCAGTGAAAATGTGTTTTTGTATTTGTAATACATGGAATCGCAAATCGTGCAAACAGATTAGGTGTTTTTTAGCTTTTCCAAAATGCTGAATAATGTTATTGAGCAGATAAACTGCTGAACAGATGTTAAGTAGCTGTTTGTGATGACCCTCTTAGCTCCCCTTTTAAGGTAAGAACATCAAATCAATGATGTAACACAAAAGAGGGAACAGGAAGGAAATTCTTTAAAATTTCCAACTTACAAGCCTTTTGAAAAATATTAAAAAAGGAGAAATCTGCAGCCTTTATAGCCTATTAATGAGAAGTTCTCTTTATATACTTTCAGTACAATGGCTTAAATTTTGTAAAATAGCAGTGTAATTCAGGTCTTATTTTGGGCTCTTTAAGACTGAAAAGTAGAAAAGGCATATTTTTCCTGGATCATAGAAAGAGATTAGATAATTTACCTTATGGCTATATAAAGATCAATTGCCAATGTTTAGAGAAGCATCCAATTCATCAGTGTGGTATGAAGGCACTATCTTGAAAAGGTCTGAATTCTTGTGTAGGTAATGAGATGGTTATATGCAATAGCTCAATAAGTGAAATAGAGAAAACATTGTGCTTGCTAAAATTTTCTTATTGATTTGAAATGAGAAATTCACTGCAATGTTGAATTAGATATTAGGAAGGCATAAAGAAAAGGTTCTTTAAAGAGACACTATCCTAATAAGTGCTTGAAATTGCAAAGTGTAGCATTATAGTATGTTTTAGAATAACAGAAATAAAATCATTAGCTAAAATTTGCTTGTTTTTGCAAATGAGATTTACTATGAACGTTTCCAAAATCCCCTAACACTTGCACTATTTGCCATGTAAGCCTTATATACTTCTAGAATTCTCTAATATTTGTACATTGGACAAATATAAAAGACTCATATACCTACATTCAATTGGGTGCTTCTAATAAAATCCAATATTGGCAAGATTCGCTTCCCCATTGTCTCCATTTGCCTCACTGTATCTTCTCTGGTCAGACCGAAAGGTGTTTTATGCTCTAAAAATTGTAACAATAAACTTTTATACTATTTTCTCCAGACTTCCATTTCAAAATATTTTCTTTAGCAAGCTATAAACGAATATCTCAATATTAATAGATACAAAATCTTTAGTATAGAAACTAGTCCCATCCCTAGACCATATGTATAACAAAGAAAGATCTATGGGGAGAAAGGCAGAGGAGATGCTGCCCTTTCGACACTATCATTTATTTATTTTGTTGTGTTTCTTGATTGAGAGATCTAAGAGACAGCCTATAACAATTCACCTATCTCTTCAGACTCTGTTTTTCCTGAGTTGTGAAAAAATGCGTCATAAATGTGTCTGATTCTTGTCTTGTTCCTCCTAGGTATTATTCAAGTGTGCAGATCCATTGACTTTGAATGTAGCTCAAAGTTCAGATAAGCCTCAGAGGATACAGTGCCAGACAAAACACAAATACTTAATTATGTGGTTAGAGCTGCAGGAATAAATTTAACCTGGTCATGAATTCAGCCCATAAGTTTGAGATTTCAACTCCATGTGAATATTTTCTTGAGTTTTGAAAGTTTCGACTCGGATTACTGAACACCATTTAACTGTAATACTCTCCAGGAGATCTAAACTCTTGGCTAATTACATAAGAAAAGCGGGGAAGAGACATTAATACAACAACAGAGAATACAAGTAATTTAAGATTGTCATTGGCTATATTTTTGATTTCATATAGTAGTTTTATTGCATAATTTTCTTCTACCTCTGCTAATTGATAATGATGAAAACTAGTATTCTTTAAGCACTGTATGATCAGGCATTGATGACTGCGGTGGGTGGGGTAAGATGATTAGATGATTAGAGTGAGGGGGGTGGGCATTCCAGGATTGTGTGTGTTCTTGGGGAAAGATTTCCTGGAACCAGAATTCCAGGTATTGTTAACTAACCCACAAAGAAGATTAGAAGGAGTTAATTTTAACTCAAACATTTTTTGGGGCCCAAAACTCATCACAGGCTACTATATGCTAGACCTTGTAGGTTCAGATGATTTACCTGTGAATATCGGCAGCTTCCTGCTTGATATTTTTTCCAAAAATTTTCCATCATCTTTGTTTTTGAACCCAAGAGTCAAGAGATATTGTTGGGGAGGAAAAGATGACCAGTCAACTGTCTGAGGCAACATGTGGAGTGCTTGAAGATCTGAAATATGACAGAAAGAGAACTAAGAGGCTTTGTTATGGTTTTAATATTTTTAGGGTTTTCCCCCCCAGATTTCAGGAATTGTACTTGGAAAAAATAATAACTATAAATGTGAAAGGTATGAAGTAATATTATGTGTATCAAAAGGTCAAATAGATAACATATCAAAATCATATTTCATTACACTTTTCTTAGTAATCTAAGCATACACAAAGCATAACAATAAAATATGGCTAGATCACATGGTCATCTTTCCTCGTCTTCAGAATAATAGACATTCAGGACCAGCTTGCAGGCTTATTATTTTTTGCTTTGACTCTTTACAAGAGACTTCGATTTTTCTTTTTTTTTAGATGGAGTCTTGCTCTTGTCGCCCAGGCTGGAATGTAATGGCTCAATTTTGGCTCACTGCAACCTCTACCTCCTGGGTTCAAGCGATTCTCCTGCTTTAGCCTCCTGAGTAGCTGGGATTACAGGCGCCCGCCACCGCGCCCAGCTGATTTTTGTATTTTTAGTAGAGACGGGATTTCACCATGTTGGCCAGGCTAGTCTCAAACTCCTGACCTCAGGTGATCTACCTGCCTTGGCCTCCCAAAATGCTGAGATTACAGGCATGAGCCACTGCGCTCAGCTGAGAATTTGATTTTTCTCTTCCTAGCTTAAGATGTAAGGAAATAATGTTAGTTATAAAAAAAAAAGGAAAAAAATTACAAGTGAGAATTAAAATATAAAGCTAATTAATTTAGTTACCATCCTTCATCTAGCCATAGGAGGAAATTTAAAATGATAAATGTACTGACTATTGTAATTAGACTTGGAAATAATTCGTGTCATGAAAATGGTTCTAAAACAGACTCAATTCTTAATGACTGTAAGAGCTAATATTTACTGAGTACTTATTTTCTATCTGCCCCTGTTCTAAGAGTTTTGTGTGCACTGTTCTTTGAATTCCACATAATAACTTCACAAGGTTGGTGCTATTGTCCTCACTTTATGGATAAGAGGTTGAGGGACACAGATGGGAAGTAACTTGCCCAACAGCACAGCTCCAAAGCAGGCAAAGCCAGATTCACAACCAGGTAGTCTGACTCCAGACACCACAGGCACAGCCACTGCACCCTTCTTCAAGATCGCTTGGCACTAAGTTACTTTTGGGGTAGGGATAGAGGCCCACCTTACAGATGATAAGACTGGTGCTTGAAGAGGTTACAAACATACCCAAGATCACGAATTGAGCAAACAGAGGGACCAGAATTGAAAGCCCAAGTACAAAGGCTAACCTCTTGGGGACCTGGAGGCAAGATTCACTTAATTCATTTCCATTTTGAGTAACAAGGCTTTGGTTTATTAAAATAGATTTCTCAAACGAAGGATGATGAACAGAGAGGTAAGCCCTCTTCGTTTAACACTGCCAGAAAGGGGGAAAGGCAAAATCCCAAATATCATTGAATGATGGTTTAGTTAAAGGTAAAATATTAACGTAGACTCAGAACTCAAATGGTAATTGTTCAAATATAGCCTTCACTATTTGTCTGTAATACTTCTTTTAAAAATAAAATAGTACACCACGAGTGTTTTTTTTAACACCATTCCCCTTTTTAAGCCTCAGAACCTTTTGTCCAAACTAAAATTTTCTGACAAGCCCAATATTAAAAGCCAATAAAAAGTAGGGATGTTCTGTTTGAATCCTGGCACACTGATTACCCATCCTCACTACTGAACTCTGTTCTATACCCTACTCACAGATGCCACCTCGAGCTTCTCCACAGAACCTCAGTTTTTCAAAACACTGTTTGGAAAACACTGCAGTAAGTTATTTGTCACAGTTTGGTTAAGTAAACAGTGTATGTCTGTCAAATTGAGAGTTAAAATATATGCTGATTATTGAAATAATTAAAATATCACAAAATGCCTTTTAAACCCAAACACAGAGCAAAAACATCTTAATCCCAAACATATGTTAGTTTTTCTTTGGTGACTTAGGATCAAGGTCACCCCTTACTGTTAGTGAGGGCTAATATTCATCTGGCGCTTCTTCTGTGCCACACACATTATCAGGGTTATCTTTTTCAATCATGGAGTGGGAAGCAGGGCATATTATCAGGCCCACCTTACAGATGATAAAGCTGGAGCTTCCAGAGGTTCCAAAGTTGCCCAAGATCACACACTGAGCATAGGGACCAGAATTGAAAATCAGGCAGCTGGATGCCAAAGTACAAAGGCTTACCACTCAAAACTATCCTTGTGACAGTCTAGGGTCATGGTTATAAAAATCGACGGGAAACATGCCATAGGAATGCCAGTAAACACTCTCTATCTAGAAAAGTATACTAAATGCTGAAGAGTTCCCAAACTAACAGAGTGACTTTTAGGCATCTTAACATACAGATTGCAAGTATTAGATGCTTCTTCTTCTTTTTTTTTCTTTTTTTTTGAGATGGAGTCTTGCTCTGTCTACCCAGGCTGGAGTGCAATGGCACTATCTTGGCTCACTGCAAACTCCGCCTCCTGGGTTCAAGCAATTCTCCTGCCTCAGCCTCCCGAGTAGCTAGGATTACAGGCACGCGCCACCACACCCAGCTAATTTTGTATTTTTAGTAGAGATGAGGTTTCTCCAAGTTGGTCAAGCTGGTCTTGAACTCCTGACCTCAGGTGATCCGCCCAACACACCCTCCCAAAGTGTTGGGATTATAGGCATGAGCCACTGCACCTAGCCTTAGATGCTTCTTTAGTTGGTGGTTGTGTTACAAAATGCCTCTTTTTAAAAGGATGGCTCATTTTTATAAACAAGGTAAAAATGTGATTTCTACTTTTCAGTTTCAAAAGTGCAGGAAGTTTCTTTGCTTTTGAAATCTGCAGCTGATCATCACAGACACGCCTCTCTTTGCAAGCGAATACTATTTTGCTGAAATATTAGCAAGGGGAGAGCTTACTAGTTTTACTGAAGTTGCCAATAACTGGATTGTATGAAAAGGCAGCTGAGTAACCTCGAGATTTGGCATTTTCTGGTGCAGCACTATTGCCAAAACCAGCCTGATGTTTGAGGACCCCCTTATGTAGATAGATAGCATAAAGACTTTGAATGGTTTACCTCTTCTTGTCCTTAAATATTTGATAGATAGATAGGAGAGCAATACTATTATTGGCAGTGATTAGATGGAATAGAAACGAGTATCAGTACTATACTATGGCTAATTTATTATAAAACATGCTTGCAAAAATGTAAATATTCTCTGTTCCTTCTGATCCTATATGCTTCATCCTGTGAGTATTTGACCCATTATTAACTTCCAGTTGAAGTTTTAAAATGTAGGAGGCTCCTATATACATATGGTTAAATTTAGAAAAAAATTTTTTTTCAAGTATCATTCTTTTTCCATTTGTATGCAGGGTAAATTGCTGTTGTATGAACATTTAGCCTAACAGGTGGTCTATGACCCAAAATGACAACACACTTACCAGATGTTGAATCTCATGTAACATTAATTTGAGTGCTAATTGTTCTCGATTTTGTGCTCATAAACCTCTACCTGTGTCCGAAAAGCTCTGTGCCTCTGATGGATATAAAAGTTAACCAGATTATATTACCCTTCTGTAGGAAAGTAGAATTGATTAAAAAATGTCTTCTTTGCTCCTGTCATGTCAAAAGAAACTTGGGAGAAACACATCTTTTAATGCATTCCTTTACAATTTATCCCAATTGGAGATGAAATTTATATGACTATGACTGAATTTATTATTAAAAAAAAATCAGTTTGCATGTGTGAACAGCTCCAAATTTTTACCATTAGCAAAGTGGATGCTTTAGAAAATAATATCAAAGATAGATTATGCAGATTAAATTTCTCACAGAAACATAATCTTTCAATTTCTTTTCCCCTAGAGAAAAGATGTCAAACTTTCACTGAAAGAGGTAAACAGTTTTCCCTTCTTCAGAAATATTTTATTGTACTCCAGAAGGCTGAAACTGACCACCTTGCAAGTCCTCAAGCTATTCTGGCTTCTTGACTTTCTGGTATTATTGTCCTCTCCTTAAAAATCATCTTCCTGGAGTTCAGTAGTAGTCTCTCTCTCTCTCTCTGACACACACACACACATTCCCCTTTCTCCTCCTGCCTTCTCATTCAGTGCTCCTCACAGCTGTCCCCAGCTCACTGATACTCTCTTCATACATACACCCTTGGGAATATCTCTAGTCTTGTCTGTGGCTACTATTTTTAACCAAAAAATTGGACATCAAAGCTACAGTCGCAGCTGGAAATTTCCACCAAATTCCAACATGGCATTTCCAAATACCTACTGGGACATTGCTATTTGCTCATCACTCCAAAAGTTAGTTAAAATAGAGCAAATATGTTCCTCAAAAGTGATTTTCATAATCTCTACAACTTCTCTTTTCCTTTTTCTTCACCAGCCTATTATGAGGAAAGCCATTATTCACCCAATTATTCTGGCTTAAAAATTTGAAGCCATTGTTGACTTTTCTTTCCTCTTATTCCCCATTTAGTGAGTCTCTCAAAAGCTAATTAAACCTGCACATTGCAATGCATCCCATATCAGCCTGTTTCTTTGCATTATCATTGCTATTATCTTGGCCAAATTTCTCATCACATAACATCTGGATTATTGAAGAGTTTCCCCACCAGTCTCACTGCTACCAGTGTTGTTTCATGCCAATACATCACTACATCACCACTCGATGAATATTTTTGATACATCACCTGCCTTTTTCACTGTCACATCCTTCCTCAGGAACTCTGGAGATGTTTCCTTTCCTGGCATTCAAGGCTCTCAGCAGTGTGCATCTGCTTCACAATCTAGCCATGATTCTTACATTTTCTCTAGTATCAACCTTTATAACCAGCTCTGCTGATTTCACTGCCTTTGCTTATCTGGCCTCTGAACTTTTGCTTGTGATTTTCCACTCAGAAACAACTACCTAGTCTCCCCATTTTTCCTTTATTCAGTCTATCACTGTCCTTCCAGATGTGTCTAAGTCCCATCTAGCTCATAAAGGGTTTCCTGAATATTACAGTATCTTCCAATCTTCCATTCAAACTCTTTTTTTTTTTTTTTTTTTTTTTGAGATGGAGTCTCGCTCTGTCGCCCAGGCTGGAGTGCGGTGGCGCGATCTCAGCTCCCTGCAAGCTCCACCTCCTGGGTTCACACCATTCTCCTGCCTCAGCCTCCCGAGTAGCTGGGACTACAGTTGCCTGCCACCATACCTGGCTAATATTTGTATTTTTAGTAGAGATGGGGTTATGTTAGCCAGGATGGTCTCCATCTCCTGACCTCGTGATCCACCCGCCTTGGCCTCCCAAAGTGGTGAGATTACAGGCGTGAGCCACCTTTTTGAGAGGGAGTTTCACTCTTGTTGCCCAGGCTGGAGTGCAATGGCACCATCTTGGCTCACTGCAACCTCTACCTTCTGGCGATTCTCCTGCCTCAGCCTCCTGAGTTGCTGGGATTACAGGCGCCTGCCACCGTGCTCAGCTAATTTTTGTTATTTTTAGTAGAGATGGGGTTTCGCCTTGTTGGGCAGGCTGGTCTCGAACTCCTGACCTCAGGTGATCCACCCACCTGGGCCTCCCAAAGTGCTGGGATTACAGGCGTGAGCCACCGTGCTCGGCCTCAAACTCATAAGGAACATTTATGTTCACTCCAGAGTGAATCTCCTGTTTCATAGGGGCATGTCTTAACACCCTGACAACTCTTAATCCTCTTCAAGATCCCATCTTTTTTGTTTAATTTTTGGTTTTCATTTTTGAAATAGGGTCTTACTCTGTCACTTATGCTGGAGTGCAGTAATGCAATCATAGCTCACTGTAACCTTGAACTTCAGGGCTCAGGCAATCCTCCTGCCTCAGACTCCAGAGAAGTTGAGACTAAAGGTACATGCCCCCATGCCCAGTTAATATATTTTTGTTTAATTTTTAGTAGAGATGGGGTCTTGCTATGTTGCTCAAAGTGGTCTTGAGCTCCTGGCCTCAAGCGATGCCCCTGCCTTGGCCTCCCAAATCACTGGGATTACAGGTGTGAGCCACTGTGCCTGGCCACATCTTTAAATTATCTTCATGCCTCAAGCACCTAGCAGATGCTCAATCAACATTTGAATTTAATCTGAAAACATACATTCCCAAATCTTGAATTTTTAATGGTCCAAATAAGAATAGAACTGCAAAAAATCAAAACTAATAAAATATCTAGAGCTTCTGAGATATGATTTATTTTCTGTTACTAAACTTAGAAAAAAAATCACCTTATCTTTGTTCTTCATTTTGCCTAAACCCCAAATGGGTTCTGTTCACCTTATGAAGGGTGAGTGAAGTAAAATAATTTGTACTGTGTGACTCAGTAGAGTAGATGCTCAAATGAACAGAGCAGCTTTGCCTGGATGGAAAAATTAGTTTTATAGTTGGCTTGCTGCAGCTTTTTCTCTGGGAAATATGAACTCAGTCACAAAAGATTGGATTAATGGGGAGAGTTTGGCTTAGTGCAACCAATGGCAGCATCAGAAAAACATCTGCAAAAACATGAAATATAGACTGTAGATGAACAGACTCATCTATATATGTGAGGGATAGCTGTATTTGTTATGTAGTTAAATATCCATAAAATAAATTTTAAGCTCTATGGAAATAAAGCACTAAGCATAGACACTATTGTTATCTGTATTTTCTGTTGGACACCTCATCATAACCACAGCCAACAGATCATGAAGGAACATTGCAAAGCAGTTTCTTAAAAAGAAAAATCATAGAGATTTAAAAACTTTTTTAGAAAGATGCAGATTTGTTGGGGTCTATCATTACTTTTCTATAAGTTTCATTTTCTCCTCTCTTTTCTGGTGTCTGTGTCATTTCCCTGAACTTTGTCCATAACAAAATGTTCTGACATTTAGGTTAAAGCAAAATCTCATTTTTAAGGTCCTGATTGTTTAGTGTGAGATAGGACCATGTAAGTTTTATATGACTCCTTTTTACTGATCAGTTTCAGACTTTCGTTTCTACAGTACCTTCGTAATGCCAACACTTTGTCATTACTTCTTTCTCAATCGTGTTCTGAGTTTTATTTTGTACTCTTTTTAATGCTAATACTTCTATCTTGGAAGTTATCCACAAATTCACATCAGCAAGAAAATAGCAAAAGGTGGCAACTTTGAAGCAAAGTTGTTATTATTATTGCCCCCCCATAAATAATAAAATGGTCTCTACTTTTAAAAACAGATAGTATATTTTGATTTTTATATTTGATATCTGAGAAAGTCATATGTATACTATATAGATAATAAATTGTACAATAAATTATATTTCCCTTTGACCTTCATTATAATTTCAGAGTTATAGACAGAAATAGAAAAAAAATTGGTTTTCATTCCCGAGATTCCTAATTTTCACTTCAGGCTGGTGGTCTACTTCTCCAAGATCAATTTTTGTATATTTAAGTTTTCTCTTGCAACCCACATAAAAACTTAGAAAGACACATAATCCCACAGGAATTTTATACACAGCTCATTTCTCTTTCATTTGAAATTCTTATTGATTCCAAAGTTTTATGTTTAATGAGCTGTATTGGATCTTTATTCTGGGCTTTATTACACTGAAGTTCCTTGATCCTACTTTTATCAAAGTAGACTAGAGACAATACAAACATTAAAGATATTAAATACAAACATTAAAGATTCCCTCTCAATGTTTATTAGACTCACATCATTGAAACTGATGTCTTCTTGCACTGTATGAGAGTTGGAATGATCACTGGTTAATTGGCTATCTGGCATGCATTTCTCTCCTCCTCCCCTTTTTATTCCTTGGTGAATTCTCTCAATCACCCCCTACTCTAAAAGTGAGACCCAATTGACCAAGTCAATCAATCCATGCCATTTCCCTCGGTCCCTGTTATTCATTCAATCATAAGCATATGATGCAGTTTGGGCCAATGCAAAAGAGTGGGATCCGGGAATTGTGTGGAAGGGGCACTCTTATTCCTTGGTAATAAGTGAGATTTGAGATCTGTAATGGCATTTGAGAATGTTGCTATTATATTCAAGAAGCTAGCACTTGAGGGCATGGCAGAGTTAGCGGAACACCAGGTAGAATTTGAGAATAAATTCTCAAGTTGACTGTGGAAACAGAGTGGTGAGAGATAGTAAGTGAGCTATTGGTTGGATCAAGCTATGCTTAAAAGCAGTCCCACCTGTGGATCTTCAAGTTATGTAAATCAGTGTGTTCCAATGTGTTCTGCCCCTTTAAAACTGACTTCACTAAGTCAGTTTGAGCTGTGATTCCTACCACTTGAAACCAAAGATTCCTTATACAGGGATTTAGCTAGTAGTTCAATATATCTTACAAATAATATAGGATCCTTACTATAGATGAGATGTAAGACAGAGATGAAACTGTCATGTTGAATTTCTAGGAAGCACGTTTTTCTTATTTAAGAAAAATAACAGTTGGGGGATTTGGAATTATTACTTTTTACAGCTAGCACAAAGGTAGCAATATTGAATACATCCTGGTGATGCCATTATTACAACATTATTACAATATTATCACTGGTAACAAGACTTACATTTATAAGTATAATAAAAATAATAAATGTTTAACATAATCTTTCTTGACCTAAATTATAATTATTATTTTCCCACTTTGGATTAAATTCTACATCTCACAGAAAATGACTTGTGGGTAGTTAATTTAAACATCACACAATAAAAGTCATGTGATCTCAAAGCCTTAATTTTCCTTTCTGTTCAGACTGGTAACCTATTCACTTGTTTATTTGTTTATATTTCCCTTTGTTCTGGAAGTGTAATGACTTGCCCTACATAAATTCATATGAGATAAGAAAAAGTGTAAAGTAGTGTGTTTGAAGAAAATAGATCAAAAGAAAAATTAAGAGATAGATGATGAAGCCATAAGTAAGATTAATATACAAAATGTATTTTATAAGGTCCTGTATATTTGCTAAAAGTAAAGAGGATCGAATATGTCATTCACAATGTTCTTAATTAAAAAACTTCTATCATCACAGAAAAGCACAGTGATTTCCTTTCCTGGAACAGAGACTTTCTTTCTTGCTTTTTGTTGAAATTGGTTTATAAGTACTATAACTTTTCATGTAATAAGCTGAATTATTAATGATAATTTAAAAACAAAGAATTATGTACAAAATTATTATTACTCATGAATTATCATGATTCATAAGCAAATAATCTTATCAGAAATTTCCTGTAGTTAACATATATACCAATTTTGAAAGTCAGCAAGGCTTTGACTTAGAATTTGAGATGAGATGCTTCTTTATATATGGAAATCTAAAAGAAGAGACACCTTGATATATAGATATTAGATATTGCTATCCACTCTTTACTATTAGTAGTTAGTTTGGTTGTGATGAAACAACTTTTAATCTGTTTTATTCCTGTTAACCTCAGAAACAAAATAACTGTTTTTGACCACTATTATTATTATCTACGGCTTTGGAACTTTAGGACAAAGTAATAAGACCTGAAATAAAAATGAGAGATATAAACATTGGAAGTAAAGAGACCACCGTATTATTACTTAATAATAGATGGTTGTAGAAAATCCAAGAGGATAAACTGAAAATCAGTTAGTATAGACAAGAGTTCACTAAGGTATCAAAAAAGAAAATATATAAAACTCAATACAAACGTGTAAGATTTAAAGCTTGACATGGTGGTACGTGTCAATAGTCCTACCTACTTAGAAGGTTGAGGTGTGAGGATTGCTTGAGGCCAGGAGTTCAATGATGTAATGTGCTGTGAGCACACCTGCGAATAGCCACTCAAAAATAGCCATTGTTTGAGACCCCATCTCAAACAAACACACAAACAACAAACCATGTAAGATTAAAAAACCCAAAATATGTAGATATGATAAAATATGCAGTATATTGTAAACAATGGTTTGATCCATAATAGAAAAAACATAAAATATTAGAAATAAGCTTAGTAAGATATATAATTTTGATAAATAATTTGATTACCTAATTTACTTGACAAATATTTTTAGGCTCTTCTTGCAAGAATTTACAAATATAAGTCAGACGTTAGAAGGAAAAGGTAAGATAATAGAGGGCATGGTGTTGTTTACTATTTGGTGCCTGTAGTACATAAGTACACAGTCAATTATAATACAGCATGGTACATTATTAAATTAAGGTGAAATCGGGGTATCAGTAAAATGATAGAGATAAAAATTTGAATGATTGACAAAGGGAGAATAAACTTGTTTGACTTGTTTGGGGCCTAGACTAGAATTTTTTTTTCCTCTGGGAATTTTCACTATAGGCATGTGGGTTAAGGTTTGAGTTTATGCTACCTGGGTAGTTTAGGAACTCTCATGTCTAGGAATAAACTGCTCTGATTGGTAACATTCTATGGTATGGAAAAAGAAAAAGAAAATCCTCTGGGGAAGGATGCAAAATAACCCTAGACTGCACAGGATTCTCACAGATCAAGCCCCACTGAATAATGGCTTACATCTTACACATAAGAGTGGAAAAACACACAAAGATACAATTTTCAATGAGTGAGAGGTGGTGTGGTATCATAGAAAGATATTTGGTCTTTCTTCCTAGTTTCTGGCACAAAGCTCCTAAGACCTTTAGAATTACCTGAATTTGATAAGGATGATAGGAGTGTCTTTTGTTCTAATGAGGCAACATTTGGAAGGCCTATAATAGCTTCAGGATGGGGCTGGTCACTAGAAAAACCAACCAACCTCCAGGGAGGAAATAGGGAGTAAAGACTGAGTTAATCACTAATAGTCAATTATTTAATCAATCATGCCTACATAATGAAATCTCAATAAAAGCTTCTCAACAGCAGGGCTTGGAGAACTTCTGGGTTGGTGAACACATTGAAGTTATAGGAGGGTGATATTCTCAGAAAAGATATGAAAGCTCTGTGTACCCTCCCTCTTCTGTCATGCATTTCTCTATACATGCTTCTCTTTCATTTGGCTGTTTCTAAGTTGTATCCTTTACTTGCTGTTACTGCATTCACTGTTTTTGTTGCTCTTATGGTATTTTGTTGCTATTATGTTGCTAAATGGTAAGTCCCGAGTTTTGTGAGTTGGTCTAGCAAATTATCAAATCTGAGAAGGGGATTATGGGAACTCTTGATTTATAGTTGCTTGGTCAGAAGTATAGGAGGCCTGGGACTTTATTTATTTATTTACTTATTTTTTATTTATTTATTTTTTTTGAGACAGAGCCTTGCTCTGTCGACCAGACTGGCATGCAATGGCGTGATCTCGGCTTACTGCAACCTCTGCCTTCTGGGTTCAAGCCATTCTCCTGCCTCAGCCTCCCAGGTAGCTGGGACTACAGGCATGGGCCACTATGGCCAGCTAATTTTTTTTGTATTTTTAGTAGAGATAGGGTTTCACCATACTGGCCAGGCTGGACTCAAACTCCTGACCTCAAGTGATCCACCTGCTTCAGCCTCCCAAAGTGCTGGGATTATTATAACTGGTATCTAAAGTGGAGGGCAGTGCTATGGGACTGAGCCTTTAACCTACAGGGTTTCCAGGTAGTTAGTGTCAGAATTGAATTGCAATATCGAACACCTAGTTAGTGTCAGAAAGCTAGAGAAATAGTGATGTGGAAAACCCTACACATTTGACATCAGAATATTGTGAGAAAAAAAAATCACTTCAGAACTGGTATCAGAGGTGGGATTTGCTAGAATGGCCCTGACTCACAGAAGCATGTGGTTTGGGGAGAGAAAGGATGAAATGGTGAGGGAGGAGGAACCTTTGATTGGTTATTCATGGTATGGAGCAGCAGCTGTGCTTCAGTTAGTTATTAAATGTAAAAGTTACCAATGGAATTTAGCGGTGAATCTGATTCCCAGCCTTTTGGTTTGCTGAATACATAGGGTAATACAAACTAATAGAAAAAAATAAAATATACAATCCCTTGGCTATTATTATCTGTAAGAGCTAAAATGAAATTAAAAATGACTTCCAGGTTAAACTTCAATGCTGAACCAAGCACAGATTTCAGTTGAGCTGAACTTCAGTCACTAGCACCCAAAGTCTCTCAAGGGAGGAAATTATGCAGGAACAACTGAGAGTACCTTTAAGATCTCTGATTACTAAGAAGGTGGTCCACATTGAGGGGTGGGCAAAACCGAGAAACTACTAAAACTAGGGGGTAGAGTGTAAATATATATACCCAGGGGGTATATTTTATTTTGTAGATCAGTGTCATCAGCTTCCTTTACTAAAATGCATTGTAAGAATGACTAACTTAAAAAAAAGTAACTGTTTTTCAATTTTGTAGAGTAGGAAGGCATGTTTGGGTGGATATAGGATCCACTGCTCACTATGGAACCATTGCAGACGGGTATACATCATCCAGACAGACAGCAAGTTATTCCTGAAAGAACAGCCAGCCTGGTGAACTAAATAAAAGTGACTATAAGATCTGTTTATCCTGAGAAGGGGGGTAAACAGATCCCCCTATAAATGACAAGTGGGAAATCTCAGATGAAGCAGCTGATATGTTTCATATGCAAGCCACGTAAGATTGGCTTCATAATAAGCAGGATATTTATCCACTAAATATGCCCATTACCCAGGTTATGGTAAATTGGTGCCCCATGTAACTTAACTGTTGCAAAATGGAGCAACAGTTCTTATGAAATTTGCTTTCTCAGCTTCCCTTCATGGGTCTTACAGATGCTATAAAAACATTAGATTATTTAACAAGAGAATGAGGAGAGGTAAAAGGGAGAGGCGAAGGACTTGTCCCCGTGATTTGGAAATTGTTAAGTGGTTATTAAGAAATGGGGTGAATACAGCAAACATTGATAGGAGCAAACAATAGGGAAGAAGGAGAGAGTCAAAGGACTCACCTCTGCAGGTGGAAAGCTTTAGATGGTTATTAAGAAATGGGATAAATAGATGGACATTGACGAGGATGAAACAAAAGTCTTAATACAGCACTATACAAGGTTGGGTGGACCAAAGGGATCCTCTGCCAGTCCCTCAATAATAAAGCGCCTCTAACAAGTTCTATTTACCCCAATGTTAAGACAGAGCAGAGACCCCCTCTTTGGAGTCTGCGGGCCTCCTTAAGTGTGAAAATGAGAAAAATATCTTGAGTTTCTTCAAAAAAAGTTTCAGGCACCTAGGTAGCCCTGAAAAGTAAAGTAAATAAATAACTTGATAAGCAAAAATATAGTAATAGCTTAAAACAATAGCCAAAAAAGTTAGAATCACAGAAAGTTTGGTTCTCCTATAAAACCTAAAAATAACATCTTAATATACGTCTCTGAGTTGTTTTTCAGAGATCCAGACCCCCCCACCCCCCCGCAACAAATGGATCCCCTGGCATATAAACCTCAGATAAAGGAGAACTGAGGACTGAACTCTAACCATGATTCTTGGTTCTAAATGTCTTCCTGAGGGGTCTGGAGGAAGTCACACCCACATG
Organism: Homo sapiens; assembly: GCF_000001405.40. Taxonomy (NCBI): domain Eukaryota; kingdom Metazoa; phylum Chordata; class Mammalia; order Primates; family Hominidae; genus Homo; species Homo sapiens. The sequence continues at coordinate 172,938,963 of NC_000003.12, forward strand.
CCAGAGCTAACATTCTTTTCTGCTGACCTCAAATTTTAAAAGAAAGCTTCTATTTGTTAACCAATTAGAAATTAAAAAGTCTTTAAATCTACTTATGACCCGGGAGCCCCCGCTTCAAGATATCCTGCCCTTTTAGGCCAAAACCAATGTATACTCTCCATGCATTATGATTTTGCTTATAACTTCTGCCTTCCTAAAATTTACCCTTGCCTTTAAAAACTGTTGCCTGCAATACGTCGGGGAGTTTGGAACTTACGCGTTAGCTGCCTGATCCTTCTTGCTTGGTGCCCTGCAAATAAAGCCTTTCTTTCTCCTACTATAAACCTTGATGTAAATATCTGGTCATAATGTACCAAGCAAGTGAACCCCAGTTTGGTTCATAAAAGTGTGGGGATTTTAAAAAGCTGGAAGGCAAATATTACAATGAGAAACCTGGTCTGTAGTCATTTGGGGCAATAGACAGGCAGACTAATCAAAATAATTATTGACAAAAGGGCCAGAGTCTCTTAGCTTGACCCCTGGCTGCAAACCCAAAATCTTATGCAAATGAATAGGTAAAATGTGGTGAAGAAAAGGTTATGGAATTTTTTGACACGGAAGCATCATGCACTATGGTAGCAAAATTTGTTGGTGAAGCCCTAACACAGACTACGATTACACTGAAAGAATATAGAAATGCAAGGGCTAAGAGTAATGTCCTTTTAAAATAATATTTGGTCTTTGTCCCCAGTTCCTGACACAGCTTCTAAAATGACTGAAATTTCCTGAGTGATAGGAGCATCTGTTGCTATTCATAACAAGCCCCTTTCAACCCTATCTGAGTATATGCTAATGAGGTGACTCTTGCTGGGCCCTTAGATAGCTTCAGGATGAGGGCAATTTGCCAAAGAAACCAACTATGTGATTAGAGGCTTGGAATGTTCAGCTTCATGCCTCCCCCACCTCTGGAGAGAGGAGAGATGCTGGAGACTGAGTTAATCACCAATGACCAATAATTTAAACAAGGATGCCTATATAATGAAAAATCCATAAAAACCCATAAAAGTTGGGGTTTGGAGACCTACCAGGTTGGTGAACACATCATGGTGCAGGGAGAATGGCATACCAAAGAGGGCCTGGAGGCTCCACATCTCTCACCCCTACTATCTTGCTCTGTGCATCTCTTCCATTTGGCTGTTCCTGAGTGATATCCCTTATAATACACCAGTACAAGCAAGCATTTTCCTGAGCTCAGCGAACAAATTACTGAACATGACGAGGGGGTTGTGAAAATTCCTGATTTGTAGCTGGTTGATCAGAAGTATTGCAACTGGTATCTAAAATGGGCACAGTTTTGTCATACTGAAGCCTTCAACTTGTGGAACCTGACACTAACTCTATGTGGATAGTTATCAGAATTGAATTGAATCTTTGGACATCCAGTTGGTTTTGGAGAATGGGAGAATTGATTGGTTTTTGAGAAAATATCCCAGAGATGGCAAAACAACAAATAGCAGAATTAGCTTTCCGAAATCTTGAGAAATAGCACTATTAGATACAAAATATAAAACGTGTGTAAAGTACTAAATATAATAAAAATCACAAGAATAAAACTAGGTTTTTAAAAGTTGCCTTGAAAAAGATTTTAAACACATGGACACATAGAAGGGAAAAACACACACTGGGGCCCCATAAGACAAGTTTACCTATATAACTTGAACATGTACCTCTGAACTTAAAATAAATGTTAAATTTAACAAAAGGGCTGGGTGCAGTGGCTTATGCCTGTAATCTTAGCACTTTGGGAGGCTGAGGCAGGCGGATTGTCTGAGCTCAGGACAGACCAGCCTGGGCAACATGGAGAAACCTTGTCTCTACTAGCATACAAAAAATTAGCTGGGCGTGGTGGCACGTGCCTGTAATCACAGCTACTCGGGAGGCTGAGGCAGGAGAATTGCTTGAACCCGGGAGGCGGAGGTTGCAGTGAGCCGAGATCATGCCACAGCACTCCAGCCTGGGTGACAGAGAGAGACTCCATCTCAAAAGATAAAAATAAAAATAAAATAAGCAAATTACATAAAAAAAAGATCTCAAGAGAACTTCTAGGAGTGGAAAAACAATTACTGGAATGAAAATCTTGAATCTATTAAGGAGTGATCTAGACAGAGCTAAAGGAAGGATGAGAATGCAGATCTGAGAAAATTTCAAAATGAAGCAGACAAAGACATGGAGAACATGGACAATTTAATAAGCAGCCTCAATGATCTGGAGGGTAGAATAAATAAAAGTAACAAATGTCCAGTTAAAATTCTTGAATGAGAGAATAGAAAGAATCAGGGACTAAAGTATTAAAAAGGAAACGGATTGCAGTTTTTCAGAATTTATGAAAGACTTGACCCCTTAGATTGTGAACACAGTGACCAAGCAGGTTAAGAAAAAAAAATTATTCCTGGACACATCTGTAGTTAAACTGTAGAACTTCAAATGAAGACATGATCTTAAAAGCATCAGAGATAAAAGAAGATTATCTACAAAGGAATGAGATCTGACTTCCCAACAGCAATGACACAAGTCAGAAGACAGTGAAATAATATCTTCAAGGCACCAATATTTTAGATTAGAAATTTATAACCTGTTGAACTGTTATCTAAGAACTAGGGTGAATTAGAGACATTTTAGACAATCAGAAATGAAGGGAGTATACTTCCAACAGACTCTCACTTTGGGAACTTCCAAAGGATGCACTTTAGAAAGAAGGAAATAAAATTCAGAAGAACTGAAATGCGAGAAAAAATTGGTAGACATGTGTATATAATAATTATAGATAAATGTTGATTATGTAAACACATTTATGACCATAATAATTAATTTAAGGATGGTGTCAGGGAAAATATCAGGTTAGAATAAAAATATATTATGTATAATATTAGGGGGTGATTTTCGTTAAAGTATTCTATGACCTTTATCTTGCTCAGTTGATAATCATGAAACTACGATTTTGTTAAGATGTCTATGTTTACAATAACATTTAATGTTATTGTAAATAAAGAAAAAATGAATAAAAGAAATCTTGAAGAATATGAGAGAAGGCAGGTTAGGAGGGGGGAAAAGCATGTGGACTAAAGCCTATAATATGGCAGAAATAACCAAACATAACACAGAAATCGACAAAGATCTATTTAGCACTTACTATTTGTCAGGCACTATTTAAGCCTATGGTGAACAGACAGAGATTTCCATGTCTCAGGGACTTATACTCTGGCAGAAAAACTCAATCAATCAACTCAGGAATTAAAATAAGCTTACTTATTCAGACAGAGATTGACTACATAAATAAGTAATTAAATAGATAAATAAGTCAGCTGTATGTCATTTTTAAGAGAATATTTTAACACGAGGGCATAAAATGTTGAAAGTAAAAGGATGTGAAAAAGAAATACTAGAAAAATACTAATCAGAATAAAACTAGTGAATTTATTAATATCAGACAAAATAGATTTTAATACAAAAAACGTTAACATTAAGGTGAAGAGTGTAATTACATAACAATAACATACAATTAATAATCTTAAAACAGGCACATTGATGCTGAAACAAAAAGTGAAAACTGACAAATTATAAGAATAATTGACAAACCTACCACTATTTTGGATTACTTTAACATCTTTTGTTTCCTATTTACTGATGTCGAGTAGACAAAAAATTGTAGCATCTAAAAGATATAAGTAATTTTCAAGCTTGATCCAGGTAATGAATACATTAAAAAACCCTGCATTCCAAAATTAAAAAATGACATTCTTCTTGAGCACAAATGGTATATTAATGACAGTTGACCATATATTAGGGCGTAAACCAACCTTAACAATTTCAGGAATTATTAAAATTTAGATTATGTTTTTGAACATGATGCAATTAGGTTAAAAATCAATAACAAAGGTAGCTAAACGTTTCTATACATTCAGACATTAAAAACTGTGTATTTAAGTAAGTCATGGCTCAAAGAAGATTTCATAATGAAAGTTAGAAAATATTTTGAGATGAAATACAATGAAAGTGTTTTTCAAAATTTTTAGGGCACAACAAAAATCATTCTTGGAGAGAAATTTATAGTCTTTACTAAAAACAAGGGAAGATGTTGAAAATTATTGACCCTAGAATTCAGTGAAGAAAATTAAGCAATCTGTTATAAGTTTCCAAAACAGGACATAAAAGAAATAATAAATATAAGAGCAGAAAGGAGTTAAACGTAAGAAAAAGGATGCAATAGAAAGGTTCGACAATGTCAAAACATCTGGCATAATATGAATAAACGACAACTTTTAAACCTGATAAAGAATACTTATCAAAGATCTACAGCAAACTTTATACTTAGTGGTGGAAATTTAAGTCTTTTTAAATGGAACAACATGTAAATGCCTGCTATCACTCCTTTATTCAACCTTGTGTTGCAATCCCAGCCATAACAGTAGTAGAATGAACAAACCAAAAAGAAAGAATGAATATCTATGTACTGGAACAGGGATGGATTTCTTAAATATGATACCAAACCACAAGCTGTTAGGCTGTGGTGGGCAAATCACTTGAGGTCAGGAGTTTGAGACCAGCCTGGCCAACATGGTGAAACCCCATCCCTACTAAAAATACAAAATGTAGCTGGGCATGGTGGCGCATGCCTGTAATCCCAGCTACTCGAGAGGCTGAGGTACGAGAATTGCTTGAACCTGGGAGGCAGAGGTTGCAGTGAGCCAAGATTGCGCCATTGCACTCCAGCCTGGGTGACAGAGCAAGACTCCATCTTAAAAACAAAAACAGAAAGAAAATTATCAAATAACATTAAAATTTAAATCTCACTTCATCAAAAGTCACCGCAGAAAAGTCAAGCTCCTTGATGAGATAAAATATAAAAACTTCAATAAATCAATAATAAAACTATTCAAAAAACCCAAATGAACAAAGAGCACAAACATGCAAATTGTAAGAATATAGAAATAGTAAAAATACCATTTTCATAAATTTGAAAATTTTTAAGAATTCTTCTATTTATCCTTTAAGGAAATGGAACCACAGGACAAATAATGACAACAAAGATGTTCAACCCAATTAACAGTCATGGAAATGCAGTGAAAAGGCAACCTATAGAATGGGAGGAAATATTTGCAAATCATACATCTGACAAAGAATTTGTATCTAGAATACATAAAGAACCCCTACAATTCGAAAACAGCAACAAAAAACAACTCAATTAAAAAATTGGGAAAGGACTTAAACAGACATTTCTTCGAAGAAGACATAAAAATGGCCAATAAGCACATGAAAGATGCTCAACATCACTAATCATTAAGGAAATGCAAATCAAAGCCACAGTGAGATACCACTTCATATCTGTTAGGATGCTATTAGCAAAAACCAGAAAATAGCAAGTGTTGATGAGGACATGGGGAAATTGGAACACTCGTGCACTTCTGGTGAGAATGTGAAATGGTGTGGCCACTACAAGAAATGACATGACACCTACTCAAAAAATTAAAAATAGATTTACCATATGATCCAGCAATTTATATGCCAAGAATAATTGAAAGCAGGGAAATACTTGTATACCCATGTTCATAGCAGCATGATTCACAGTAGCCAAAAGGTGGAAGCACCGAGTTTTTCTCAGTGGAAAAATAGATAAACAAAATGTGATATACACATACAATGGAATATTATTTAACCTTAGAAAGGAAGGAAAATCTGACATTGGCTACAATATGGATGAACTTTGAAGACATTATGCTAAGTGAAATAAGCCAGACACAAATGGACAAATACTATATGATTCCACTTGGAGCTGTCAAATTCACAGAGACAGAAAATAGAATAGTGTTTGCTAGGGGATCTGGGGGGAGAAGAAAATGGAGAGTTATTATTTAATGGGTAGAGTTTCAGTTTGGGAAAATGAAAAGGTTTTGTAGATGGATGGTGGTAATGGTTGCACAATAATGCGAATGTAGTTAATGCTGCTGATCTGTACACTTAAAAGTGTTTAAAATGGTACATTTTACATTGTGTATATTTTACTATAATAAAAAAGGAATAATAAACAAATTTATGATAGTGATTACCTCTGGAGGGGAGGGAGTAGATTAGGATCCGAAAAATCTTGGGAACTTCAACTATACAATACTTTTAATGTTTTATTTCTCAAATAAGATGGTAATTATGTAGGTGTTCATTATTTTTGTGTCTTTTAGCATATTTCAAATATTACATAACTAAAAAAATAAAAGCTTCTGATTCTTGTAATCTCAGAACAATTTGGACCAACCTTCTTTCTGAAGACAACTAATATTCCTTGAAGAAATCTAAAAAGTAGATTTTTCTAAGAACATCAAAGAGCTAATAAGGAGGAGGCAGAGCAAGATGTCCAAATAGAACTCTCCAGTGATTGTCTCCCTCATGGGAACACCAAACTGAACAACTATCCATACAAGAAATACCTTCATAAGAACAAAAAATTAGATGGACCATTATAGTCCTTGATTTTAACATCACATAAAGGAAAGAAGCACAAAAGAGGGAAGGGAAGATAGTCTTGAATTGCTGATGTCACCCCTTCCCCATTCCCTGGCAGTAGAGAGAGACTGTGTGCGTGGTGGAGGGAGAATACAGTAATTGTGGGACTTTGTATTGGAACTCAGTGCTGCCTTGTCACAATGGAAAGCAACATGGGGGCAGAACCCAGTCAGCACCCATGGAGGGAGCATTTAGATCAGCCCTAGCCAGGGAAGAATTCTCCATCCCAGCGGTCAGAACCTGAATTCTGGCTAGCCCCACCACCATGGGCTAAAGAAGCTCTGGGGTTCTAAATAAACTTGAAAGGTAGTCTAGGCTACAAGGACCTCAATTATTGGGTAAGTTCTGGCGCTATGCTGGATTTGGAGTCAGTGGACTTGGGGTACATGACACTAGGGAGACACCAGCTGGGGTGGCTATGGGAGTTCTTGTGTCACCTCTCCCCCAACCACAGGTAGTACAGCTCACAGCTCTGGGAGAGACTCCTTCCTTCTGCTTCAGAAAGGGAGAGGGGTGAGTAAAGAAGACTTTGTCTTGCAACTTGGATACCAGCCCAGCCACAGGATAGGGCACTATTCTCTCAGACAACATTACCAGACACAACCTGAGCTGGAAGGGAACCTGCTGCCTTGAAGGGAAGAGCCCAGTCCTAGCAGGGTTCATCACTTGCTGATTAAAGAGCACTTTGGCCTTGAATAAACATCAGAAGTACCCAGGGAGTACTCACCGGGCACCTTGGGTGAAATCCAGGCCTATACTGGATTCAGATGTGGCCACATTCCTAGCTGTGGTAGCCATGGGAAGAGATTCCTTCTCCTTTAGGAAAGGAGAGAAAAGAGTAAAGGGAACTCTGTTTTGCAGCTTGGGCAAGAGCTTAGTCAAGCAGGCTCCTGTGGTCCCCAGTTTCAGGCCTTGGCTACTAGACAGTATTTCTGGATCCGCCCTGGGCCAAAGGGAAGCCTCCTGCCCTGAAAGGAGAGACCCAGCCCTGGGAACATTCACCACAAGCTGGCTGAAGAGCTCTTGGGCCTTGAGTGAACACTGACAGTAGCCAGACAGTACTAGCCATGAGCCTGGGTAGCAGTGGCCCCAGGGGGAGACTCCTTCTGTATGAGCAAATGAGACAGAAAAATGGAAAGGACTTTGTCTTGTGGCTTGGGTGCCAGCTCAGCCACGTAGAACATAGTACCAAGTAGATTCCAAAGGTTCCCCTCTCCAGGCCCTGGCTCATGGACAGCATTTCTGGACTAGAGTTGGGCCAGCAGGGAACTCACCACCCTGAAGGGAAGGACGCAAGCCTGGCTGGATTCACCACCTGCGGACTGAACAGCCCTTGGGCCTTGAGTGAATATAGGTGGTAGCCAGGTAGTGACTGGGTGGGTCTTGGGAGGGACCCAGTGCTTTGCAGTCTTTGCATCTTATCCAGCATAGTCCCAGTTGTCATGGCCATAGGAGTGCTTGTATCACCTCTCCTGAAGCTTCAGGCAGCTCAGCGCAGAGAGAGAGACTCCACTTGTTAGGGGAAAGGAAAGAGAGAGAATTAGAGTCTCTACCTGGTAGTCCAGGGAATGCTCCTGGATTTTACCCAAGACCACCAAGGTGGTACCTCTAATGAGTCTGCCAGAGTCACAGTGTTACAGGACTTTAGGTGCCCCCTAATGCAGAGATGGCTGCAGGGATCAAAGATTTAGATCACAACACTCAATTCTCTTTAAATACTTGGAAAACTTTCCCAGAAAGGATAGGTACAAACAAGCCTAGACTGCAAAGACAACAATAAACACTTCTTTAATAACTCTTCAAATAAACTCTTTATGCCCAGACATTGATAAACATCTACAAACATCGAGAACATCCAGGGAAACATGACCTCACCAAACAATCTACATAAGGCACCAGGGAACCCACCTTGGATTTCCTTTACGTAATGTATGCTCTGAGTACATGTGGGTTTGACTGGATTTGTTCATACCTTTCCAGAAACACCTCTCCATGTTAGCTTACGTTTCGCTTGCATTCACAGAATATCTGAATATTGTTTACAATAGCAACACGGTGGTGTAGGGGTAGAGGTGCTGATTAGAAGTGGAATACTATGCAGCCATAAAAAGGATGAGTTCTTGTCTTTGCAGGGACATGGATGAAGCTGGAAACCATCATTCTCAGCAAACTAACACAGGAACAGAAAACCAAACACCGCACGTTCTCACATATAAGTGGGAGTTGAACAATGAGAACACATGGACACAGGGAGGGGAACATCACTCACCGGGGCCTGTCGGGGAGTGAGGGGCAAGGGGAAGGAGAGCATTAGGACAAATACCTAATATATGTGGGGTTTAAAACCTAGATGATGGGTTGATAGGTGCAGCAAACCACCATGGCACATGTATACGTATGTAACAAACCTGTACATTCTGCACATGTATCCCAGAACTTAAAGTAAAATTAAAAAAAGAAAAAAAGAATGAAGCATGCCTTCAAGATCTAGAAAACAATCTC